>NC_000009.12:106099339-106250855 GCF_000001405.40 Homo sapiens | reverse complement strand
AAATAAGTAAATAAATAATTACAGGACCAACCCTTTTGGACCTGAGATACAGATACCCTTGATGCCAGCCTGTCCTTGTCTCCTGCCTGAGGGTAGATTTTTGGGTTTCTGTTTTAGACTCTGTACTTGAATCCATGGGTTAATAATCAGCCTAGTTTTCTGGTTCTCTGCGTACTATAGTTATTGTCTGCTACACTGCTATAGTTTGAATAATTGTCACTTCCAAAACTCACGGTGAAATTTAATTTCAAATGTGGTGGTACTGAGCGTTAAGGCCTTTAATAGATGATTAGGTCACGAGAGCTCTGCCTTCATGAGTGGACTGATTCACTCATGAAGATTAATGGATTAAAGGGTTATCATAGGAGTCGTACTGGTAGCTTTATGAAAAGAAGAATTGGCCAGGCGCAGTGGCTTACGCCTGTAATCCCAGCACTTTGGGCGGCTGAGGTGGGTGGATCACCTGAAGTTGGGAGTTCGAGACCAGCCTGAACAACATGGAGAAACCCCATCTCTATTAAAAATACAAAATTAGCTGGGCGTGGTGGCTCATGCCTGTAATCCCAGCTACTCGGGAAGCTGAGGCAGGAGAGTCACTTGAACTCGGGAGGCAGAGGTTGCAGTGGGCCAAGATCGCGCCATTGCACTCCAGCCCAACAGGAGCAAAAGTATGAGAAGAGGAGGAAGAGGAAGAGGAAGAGGGGGAGGAGGAGGGGGAGGAGGAGGAGGAGGAGGAGAAGAAGAAGGAGAAGAAGGAGAAGAAGGAGAAGAAGGAGGAGGAGAAGAAGAAAGAAGAAAGAAGAAGGAGAAGAAGAAGAAGAAGAAGAAGAAGAAGAAGAAGAAGAAGAAGCAGAAGAAGAAGCAGAAGCAGCAGAAGAAGCAGCAGAAGAAGAAGCAGCAGAAGAAGCAGCAGAAGAAGCAGCAGCAGAAGAAGCAGCAGCAGAAGAAGAAGGAAGAAGAAGGAAGAAGAAGGAAGAAGAAAGAAGAGAAGAAGAAGAAGAAGCAGAAGCAGAAGCAGCAGAAGAAGCAGCAGAAGCAGCAGAAGAAGCAGCAGAAGCAGCAGCAGCAGAAGAAGCAGCAGCAGAAGAAGGAAGAAGACGGAAGAAGAAGGAAGAAGAAAGAAGAGGAGAAGAAGGAGAAGGAGAAGAGAAGGAGGAGGAGGAGGAGGAGAAGGAGAAGGAGAAGGAGAAGGAGAAGGAGAAGGAGAAGAAGAAGAAGAAGAAGAATTTCCTTGGTAGGTAGTCCCTGGTGGTGGGGCAGGCAGTTAGCATCAGATTGCCAATGTGGCAATCCAGACTGAAGACTAGGGCCATATCTGCTTTTGGTAAATGTCTTAGTCCTTTTTCTCTTACCTGTAACAAAATACCTGAAACTGGGTAATTTATAAAGAAAAGAAATTTATTTCTTACAATTATGGAGGATGATAAATCCAAGATTGAGGGGCTGCACCTGTTGAGGATTTTCTTGCTGTGGGGACTCTGCAGAGTCCTGAGGTGGCTCTGGGCATCACATAGTGAGGGGGTTGAGTGTGCTAGCTCAGATCTTTCTTCTTTTTATAAAGCTACCAGTAAAACTCCTATGATAACTCATTAATCCATTAATCTATGAATGAATCAATCCACTCATGAAGGCAGAGCTCTCATGACCCAATCATCTATTAAAGGCCCTAACGCTCAATATTACCACATTGGAAATTAAATTTTACCATGAGTTTTGGAAGTGACAATTATTCAAACTATAGCAGTGTAGTAGACAATAACTGTAGCAGACAGAGAACCAGAATGCTAAGCTGATTATTAACCCATGGATTCAAGCACAGAGTCTAAAATAGAAACCCAAATATCTACCCTCAGGCAGGAGACAAGGACAGGCTGGCATCAAGGGTATCTCTATCTCAGGTCCAAACGGGTTGATCCTGGATTCTTTTATTTTTTCCTGACTTTGGTAAGATGTGTAAGTAGATGGCCCATATCTGAAAAGCTATAATCTGGAATAAAGTATGGATGTGCATCCCTAGCTTGGTACTAATGGCCCTTCTTCCCTTTCCTACATCATGTCTCACCAATCCCTTTCCATGCGCCTTACATTTAAGTCATTCTGAACTCTTTAGAGTTCCCCCACCAGCTTTTGTGGGGCATTAGGGAGGGCAGATGGTGGCCTATACCTTTGTACATTTAGTGCTCTTTACCTATAATATCATTACCCTCATAACTTGACAAATTTCTAGTTATCTTTTAAAACCCTCCCCAGTTATCGCACTTAAATAGTGAAAGACATGTCCAAAGCTCAACTAGCGCCTATGCTTCTGTTGCAAATGTTCAGTAACTAGCAACTTTGCAAATGAAAACCCTGTGCAAAGGGAGGATTTAGCAATGCTGGATTTAGCAAAGCAGGTACACTCAGGCATGCCAAAAAAAAAGCAAAGAAGAGATCAGTTTTTTACTCCTAGCTCTCAAGAGCTGCAGTTTCTTCTTGTAGATCAATGGGCTTGTGGATATGAACCACCTCAGTGTCTAGATCCGCGAGTGTATGACTCTTGGTCAGAATATACATATATGCTACCATGTCCAGAATATAAACAAGTGATACTCATAGAGGGAATCTTTTTCCTAGCGAAATGCTATTGCCTCAAAAGTATAAGGGAACCAAGACATAGTGATTGCCCAAAAGTCATCGCATATCCAGCCCTTGAGCAATACATTTCCCTATTAAGGGAAGCTTTGAATTGCTACAAATCATCACAAACCTTTATAAAAATCTCTTCTCTTCAAATATGCTGTGTGGCCAGGCACTATGTCTGACAGCTCCTCACTTTTTCAAGTGAGGAGCTCAATAATTTCTCCATTCCTGGCCTCAGCTTCAGTCAGTATAAATGAGTCAAGGCTTTAAAAAGACATCAAGGAATTACGGCTATCCTCTCCTTCTTAACTGCATCCCTGTATCTGGCTTCCATCACGACAATAAATAAGGCTCTTGGTGGCTGAGCACATGTGATATCTGACCAGTTAAAATAAAATTCCATGCTTCTATAGTGCTCTTCAAAGTAGAGCGTGGTTATCAATTGGCTAATACTTTCACTGTTAGCTTGGGCTTGATTCTTCTTAACTTACAGTTGAGAGAGAAACGACAGTGACAGCCATCAAAAAGATGGCTGGAATTTATCTGTGAGAAGTTGTAGAAGCCAGGCATAGGCAAAGGACACTTTTGCTGTATCTGTTGGGCTAATCTGTTCCCTGAACTCAGCTGGTAGATTTCCATCTCTAGACTTTGGTCACTGTCACAAGCCAGGTGGGAAGTCACTTTTGAACCACAGCTGGTCCTGCTCTCTCCAGTGTTGCCTTTGATTCATCAGCTAATGTCTTAGAGACTAGGGTGCATTGGTACCTTTGTACCCTGGAGGCTGGTATTACTGCACAGAATCAATGACATCCAAGAATGTAGACAAACGAGACCCAATTTCACTCCATTGTCTTAACAGGAGTCCCAGGAATAGCAACATTTCCTTATTTGTGGGCTGGGGCTCAAGAAGAAACCTCTTCTATACACCTACTATATGGGTACTATGATGGACACTTGATATATATAATTTCGTTGGTCCTACACAACAACACTGTGAGGCAAATGGTATCAACTCCATATTACAGAAGTGACATCTGAGACTTGGGTTCCAAACCCAAACCTGTTGATGTCAAATCTGTCCTTTGTCATGTTACTTCCCATAATTTAGTTTCTTACTACTTAACTCAAGGATATTGAATATATTTGGGTCTTAAAAACTTCAGGAAGCATATGGGTAATGTCTTTTATTTGGATCTTTTGGGTATAAAAAAAGATTTCTGGTCACTGGATATTCAGGTGGAAGTAAAATGATATAACAAATGCGGTTTTGAAGATGAAAGGAGGTAGCCATTAGTCAAGAAATGAGGGTCACTTGTAGAAGCTATAAAAACCAAGGAAAGCCAGGCATGGTGGCTCACGCCTGTAATCCCAGCACTTTGGGAGGCCGAGGCGGGCGGATCACGAGGTCAGGAGATCGAGACCATCCTGGCTAACACGGTGAAACCCCGTCTCTACTAAAAATACAAAAAATTAGCCAGGCGAGGTTGCGGGTGCCTGTAGTCCCAGCTACTCGGGAGCCTGAGGCAAGAGAATGGCATGAACTCCAGCGGGCGGAGCCTGCAGTGAGCAGAGATGGCGCCACTGCACTCCAGCCTGGGCAACAGCGAGACTCCGTCTCAAAAAAAACAAAAACAAAACAAAAACAAAAACAAAACCAAGGAAATAGATTCTCTCCTGGAACCTCCAGAAAAGGACACAGCCCTGGTGATACTTTGACCTTAGTCCAAGAGGAGGAGGAGTTTGTGAACATTTGAATGCTTCAGTCCCTCAAGGCTTTTGCCCAGATCACCTCAGTAACATTTGGCCTGTATTCAAAAAGGTAGGTAAGAGATGAAATCAAGTCCGTTCTGACTACCCATAAAAGAGCTATAGAATAGATACAGTGTGACCTGAGGATTTAGCCATTATCTCTGTGTCTCTAGAGAAAGTGGATTATCTACAAAAATCCTCCATACCTCCTTTCCTGTCTTCCTTTCTTTTCTAATTTGTTCTTTCCTACTTACTTTTCATCTAATTCATTCTTCAACAACAAATTCTGTTAAACACTTAAATATACATGGAAGTCTTAAATTATGACCAGTTATTGCCATCCAGGAGCTAGCACTCTGATTTCGGTAATAAGGCATGCACATGAAAATATGTAATATAAGATAAAAAGTATTACCTTCCTTAAGAGAAGTTTGGGAAAACATGTTGTAGGGGTAAAATGTAGGGTCAGGTTACTTTTACTTGGAGGATGAGACTTAAGGAATGAGGGAAATAAATGGATAGGCTATAGACAGATACAAAATATCAAGAGGAAAAGACACCTGGTGAAGGGAACTGTACTAGGCAGAAAAGAGCCCTCCCCGCAAAGGTGTCTACATCCTAATTCCCAGAACCTGTGAATATGTTAGGTTATAAGGCAAAGGTGAATTAAGGTTGAGGTAGAATTAAGATGGCTAATCAGATGATATTAAAATACGGACATGATCCCAAATTATCTGCATGGACCCAATAAGCATCCTTACAAATGGAAGAGGGAGGCAGAAGAAGAGAGTCAAATAAGAAAATGTGATGCCAGAAACAGGGTCAGAGAGATGCTACATTTCTGGTTTTGAAGATGAAAAGAGGTGGCCCTGAGTCAAGGAATGGGGGTGGCCTGTAGAAGCTATAAAAGGCAAGGAAATAGATTCTCTCCTGGAGCCTCCAGAAAAGAACACAGCCCTGCTGATACCCTGACCTTAACCCAGTGGGACCAGTGTCAGACTGCTGACCTCTAGAACTGAAGGATAATAAATGTGTGTTGTTTTAAGCCACAAAGTTGGTGCCGAATTGTCACAGCAGCAAATGGAAAATGAACACAGGAGAAATCTTATGGTGGAAAGGTGAAAATTTAATTTTATAACAAAAAGTCCACAAAGAAAAAAAAAGTAGGAGATGAGACTTGGCAGGCAGGTAGGAATTTGACCGTAAAGGGTAATAGAGTGCCACTGAGGGGTTTAAAGAAAGGAAGGACATGATTAGATTTGTATTTTATAATTACTATTGTGGTAGTTGTGTGAAGGAGAAATTAAAGGAAATAAGTCAGGGAAATCAGAAAGCTATTGGAATGGTTTCAGCAAGAAGTGATGAGGCCTCAGAGAAGGCAGTAGAATGGAAGAAGAGAAAATGAGTCATTCATTCATTTATTCAACGTATTATTTTTGAGTGCCTGCTATGCTTTCAGGCACTGTTGTATTTGTTAAGGGTATGGGCAAGCCCATGGCTAATGCTCAAATCCTCTCTTCAGGACTTACAGTCTAATGCATATAGATATACAATAGACAAATAAGCCTATAATGTGTGAGAGGGTGATACGATCTCTAAAGAAAACCGAAGTGGGAAAAGGGATTTAGAGAGTGGCAGGTGCGGATGGAGAATTATTTCAATGGGACTTTGGAAGAGACCTCTCTAAGAAGGTGGTATTTGCGTACAGACCTAAATGAAGAGGAGAACCAAGTAGATATCTTGGGGCAGAGCCTTTATGTCAAAGATCAGAAACCTAGTGTATTCACAATAAAGTGAAGAAGCTGATGTGGTTGGAGGGAAATTATAAAAAATGTGGGTGGTAGAGGCAAATGTCAGAGACACTGAGTGGGACATCTCTTGCTTGGCTTTCCAGATTACTGAAAGAACACGGGAGTTTACTCTGAATAAAACAAAGGCATTCTGTATTCAGAATTGACAGGACTAGAAGGTTATTTAAATGGAGCCAAGGGCCTGAGGGTAATGAACAGTCTTCTTCTATAGCTTTATCCTGAGCAAATTAGGATGTTCCCATCACACTCACCCAACAGAAGACCACTCAGCAACACACAGGTAACATGAACAGGGCCGGGGCCATCTCAGGATCATCCTCATCCAGCTTGACTTAATGCAAATGTTCTGCAAGAAAAAATTTCCATCTTGCTTCCCATGCTTTCTTTATGGATCAAAACCAGATTGCCCAGTATATGAAGAGAGAAAATTTGGGTCCCTAAACAGCGTACATTTTCCTGGATAGAGATAGACAGAGAATTCTGTTCAGCTTACAACTAGAAAATATTCTATAACAACAATGGCACTATGTGTGGTCTTGGATGTGTCCTGTAACCTTTCCAGGTCTCAGTTTCCAAATTGAAGAAAGGAAGATAATTTTGTTTGCAAAGGATCTGATGATCTCCTCAGGGCTTTTTCGGCTATAGGAACTGTTGTTCTACTCCTAAAATGAAGGCCTGAAATTTATCCAATATACAGTCAGGCACACAGGCAGAGAAGGAAAAAGCAGGAGTTTTCAACCTTTGAGATTTTCTGTGGTCTCGTATTCTGATATTATGGAGCAGAAAAAGAATTGCATTCTAGTGATAAGAACACAGGCCTCTGTTTTAATTTCAAATCCTTCTCTTACTGGTCATGTGACCCCATTGACATTGTCTTGTAGAATAAGATAGGGTATAAAAACACAAATGTATAATAACTGTGTGACTTTGAACACATTATTTCACCTCTCTAAGGCTCCGATCATCATCTGCAAACTGGGGATATTAGTGTCTACTGCATAGCATTATATGAGTGTTGGAGAAAATGCAGGCCATAAATGCTAACTAGATTCTTTACCACTTAAGAGCATTAAAATGGAAGAAAATGCTATTATTGTTACTTTAAAAAGAAAATTAAAAGAATTCCATTAGAACTTGAAAACCATAGTAATCCTGCTGAGGAACAGCACATTAAAGACACTACTAGCTCAGGGGAAAGGAGATAAGGGTAAGCCACATCCAGGTTCTCCACAGCTGCTCCTAACAAGCCAAAAGGTCTCAGACTCAAAATCTCCCCCCCAGTTTGACCTGGGAATTGAAAAAGAATGCTTTCAGGTTCTGTCATCCCTGGTTCCTACCCAGACATCTCATTACCCTCACCTGGAATCCCCTTACCACCGAGTGAGAACCACAGTCCTAAGGGGAACTCAGGGATTGTTCAAAGCAACATTGATTTTATCTAGAGTGTATCCATCCCTCAGCAGTCTCTGATGAGACAGGGGCAGAGTGGGTCAGCAGAGCCTGTCCCTTGTCCTTTACCTGCTCTGCTCCAGGTGACAGAGCTGCATCATGCAGGGACTCAACCTGAAAAGTGAATTTCCCCAGCACATGTGTGCTGGCTTCTAGCCGAGCTTGGCCAGTGGGAAATATTGGCAGGAAATTCTGACAATATTGCCTCCACCCTATGTCCTTCCAACCTCCAGCCTACTGTTGATGTTAACCTCTAGGTTGCATTGCTAACCCCAGGTGTAGCTTTTCTTTTACCTACGTAAGCAGTTGTCTATATTAATTTCCCTCTGTTTTTAATTCCTGGAGTGATTTCCTTCCTGGTTGTACCCTGATGGATACAGCCCACATTGAGACTAGGCTGTAACTAGGGCAAGGTTGGATAAGCTCAAAATGATCTCACAGAGTGGCAGCATCTTGGATGATGCACCACACACTGGGGTCTGTCTACAGTCTAGTTGATCCAATAATTTACTTTTGTCAGAGGCCCAGATATGATTAAATTCTGAGAGATAGATTCAATGTCTTTACACTAGCAAGATTTTGAAAGGTTAATCAAAATGTATATCTAAAAATTCTGATGAGAAATAGAATTGTCACATGTTGCAGAAAAAAAAATTTTTTTTGAGACAGGTTCTTGCACTGTCTCTCAGACTGGAGTGCGCTGGCACAATTATGGCTCACTGCAGCCTCAACACTACAGGTGCATGCACCATGCCCAGTTAATTTTTTAAGTTTTTTTGTAAAGACGAGGTCTTGCTCTACTTTCCAGGCTAGACCAGAAAAGTCTTGTCAGCAGGACCCAAACAGTCTCTCCCTGCAGGAGAACTACATAGAAGCCTAATCCCAGTTAGGGGGTAACCTAAAATGACCAGAATCACAGTAGCTTATAGATTTAAATGATGAATATAATCATGAACTGAGAGGCTGCAGTATCCACTGCAGGGTAGAGATGGCCTTGCCAATCTTCTAACATTCATTTATTGGGAAACTCAAACAGGAGAGACAGCTCCTGCCCTTATAGAACATGCACTAAATCTCCAATTCCAGTGACCATCCCATTCGGAGTACTCTGAAAGGCACTGCCCACCTGACTCCTTTACCCTACTTCCATAGCTGGTCATCCCCCATTCCAATGAAGACATCATTGCTTTGGATCTCTCTGTTCTAAAACAAGAAAATTGACATGGTTTTAGGTGAGGCAGATAATAGAACTGGCCCTCTCTGGCCCTTCTAAGAGAGACAGTGCTCCTGGAGAAATGACCATACAAGTGAATCCATAGAGCTGCATGATTGGAAAGTCAGGCCATACATGGCATGAAGCATTGTTTTCCAGGTTTAATACTGAGGAACTGCGATCATTCTCCATCTGGGACTTAAAGGATGCATCAAGAGCTTAGGGCTAGCATGGTACATGGTGACCATAAGTTAGGGTAGCTCTGCTACCCACCAAGTTAGAGGGCCAACTTCTGTCCTTGTACGCACACCCCCACCACACCACATGCACACTCACACACACCCTGGAATAACAGCGGGATATTTCAAGACTAGATAAACCACTAAGTACCATCTAGGTAGTAGCACCACACAAGGCACTCATTGAAGCAGGTATCAGAAAACTGGGCGAGATAGGGGACTGGTTATCTTCCCCCAATCTCTCTCTGGGGTACTTGGAGTCACAAAGGTCCTTTTTGGACTGAGAAAGCTCCAGACCTCTTGGAAAATCCAGAGAAAGAAGGGACCCCACCCCAGGAAGATAGTGTATATCCAACTTAATTATGTGAATGCTTCAGTGGTTTTAATTTGAAACAGAAACAAAATAGGACCACATTTGTACACAGCTGGTTAGGTAGGTTACTACAGCTACATGCTATTACCTTCACTTAAGTCTCAATGGTCAGAATTTTGACACCCTCTATTCTAATCTATAATACATTGACCTATAATGTAAGCCTCAAAAGACAATGTTATTACTTTAAATTCAAATTTAGAAGACAGGAAGAAGGGTAAACTCAGTGGCATGCCAGTAAACCAGTTCTCAAAAACATAAATTTAATTTTAATGTTGACAACTTCTGTTGTACAAATACTCCCACTGTGGCTGACTTTGAGCTATCAAAATTTCTGCAAATGTAACAGTCACCTCTTATGAGCTAGAACAAATCAGCTCCAGACCATGACTGGAATGTCCTACCCTCAACCTGCAAAAAATGAGCCACCGTAAAAACGCAAGAAAATCCACCTATGCCTAAAATTCACCTGTAGTTTTCTTTGCTTCCTGGAGTTATTGGGACAAATTCTTACCACTGTGTGGAATTCAAGTCCATCTCACACGGAGATTATGTTTATTTGCCTGTTTATTTATTTATACCTTCTTTTTTGAAGAAAGGATTTGAGGTGGATTATCTAAATCCATTCAATATAAAAATAGATAAAATTGAATTTCAAATAAGTAGATGAGGAATGTAGAACAAAGAGAAAATGAAAGCTTTAATAGTAATAAAGAGAAAAATGAAATCAAGTGTGAGCTTAGCACACAAAATACATGGTATAAAGGCCTTGTGAGCCATTTGCAGTGCATGCAGAAAAAGATCCATGGGAACAAACAGACATACAATGATGAGTTAGTTATTCATAGGAATTCCTATGTCCAGCTTCCAGGGGATCCGGCCATCTGTACAGAATGATGTGTCAAGGCCCATCCCCCCCGGGCCATGGGTCAGTTTGAACATTAGTATTCCACCTAGGACTTCTCTGGAAACGTGGCAAATGGGTCTAGTGTCCCACTCTCTGCCTACAGAGGCACTTGGCAGTCTAATGATCTCCTATTGCCTTGTCAATTTGTCAGAATTGCTCTTCTGGAGCAAACCCCAGTCTCCTGGAACAGCCTCGCTAGGGGCACTCACTGGATGGTGGATTCATTAAGCCCCCTGTAAGTCAGACTGGCAGCTTATGAGAGCTTCAGTCCAACTCTGCACAGACTGTGACTGCCAAGCAGAATAGTGTCCCATGCTTTCTCCAGCTGCAAGTGCCCCAGAAGGACCAGAAAATCCATTCTTGGGACAAGGGCAAGCAGAGACGCCAGAGAATAAGAGAATAATTTAAAACAAACATGTATCTTAGGTGCGGTGACCTATAGTCATTGAACGCCTAGGACAGGAACTTTAGCAAGGTTTTCATGTATTTGTAATGAAGCTCCAATATTAGCCCTCACCTCGTTCCCCAGGGCCCCTGGGGAGAACCCTGAGTGTCTTCTCCACGCGTCGCTCTTTCCCTGAGTTGGTGCAGTTATTAGGATATGTTTTTCCTTAATCAAATATAATGGGAAAAAAGTATATACCTGGCATAAGGCCTGGCATTGAGCAATTAATTGAATGGAAGCCCCACTCCTGGTTCTACCAAGCATCCCAGGCTTTTGGGGGACCACTTGATGACTGAGGAACAAATATCTAGATTTGGGAAATTCTATGTGCTGAAAAATCATTGAGAATTGCCAGAACTTGCACAGTGATGCTTGCCCAGCCCTCAGAGAAGAATTGCCCTTTCTTGTCTTCATTCAGCCATTTCGATAATGAATTTCTTATGAGCAGCTCATTAAAGCTACCTAGGCCTCAGATATAAAGCAAAAATTCTCTTTGGACACAGCTTTGGTGTTGTGGCAAAAGCATGGGACCTCAATTGACAGAACAGAAATCAAAGAATGATGATTTCCTTTACTAGATGCATAAATGTGGACAAGATAGTGTCTCTGGATTCCAGTTTCTTCATCTATAAAATGGGAATAGTAAAAATATCTTTCTAACTAGATTGAGTCAAGGTCTAAAAGAGAAAAAATATACATAAAAAATCCTCATAAAATGAAAGCACAATACAGTGTTATATATTATGGCTGTTTATAGCTGACTTCTCAAAGAGGTTGTTAAGATTTTAAAAGGCGCCAAGGACTGAGTAAGAAGAAAGACAAAGTAAATTTAAGAAGCCTCCAGCTTTCAGTAATGGCAAAGTAGCTTGGCCAGACTAACTCTTCTACAGATAGCAATAATTAAATCTGTGTAAAATATTTAAGAAGCACTGGAGAATATCAGAAGCAGGAAGGAAATGGATGGGAGATTATTCCTTTTAAAACAGGAAGGGCCTTGGTGAGATTTGTGAGTTAGCAAATTTCTACTGAGGGCATTTCTCAATCCCTGTAGCTCAGGGCAGTAGAAAACTCAATCTTACTACCTTGAGGGGTCAGAAAATAGAGCTCTGAGCTGGCAAACCATTGAAAAGTTGGGGGTGAGGTGTCCTAAGAAACAAAGGAGCAACAGAGGAAGTAAGGACACAACATATAAATAAACTCTGCCAAATCTCATTACTTAACTGCTGAACATGGAAGAATACAGAAGCTGAAAACTTAAAGAACTGAGCACAGATTTCAACTATTTCCCATGCAGGAAAGACAGAGTTTGGAGTTCAAGTCTAGCCAAATTGTGTGCTAGAACAAATATCAACATTCTTCAAAAATAGATAACAAAATCTAGAGTCTCCACAATATCTTTTATGTCTTCATATAATAAAAAATTACTAGACATGCTGAGTAACAAGAATATGTCACTTATACTCCAAAACAGGGCAGTATGCTCATGAACTTCTAAAAACAGATATTTTAATGAAAGAAGAATGGGAAATAACAGCAAACAAATAGTAATTATATTAAAAAAAACTAGATAAAGACTTTAGAAATGAAATAAAAAAACAGAAAATTTAAATTGGCAGAAGAAAGAAAAACAATGAACTCAAAGATAGATGAGTGGAAATGATCCAAACTAAAAAGCAGGGAGGAAAATTTTTGAATAAAACTGAACAGGGCTTTGGTTACCTTGGAGATAATATCAAGCAGTCTAAATAATATCAACCAGTCTAATAAATTTGTAATAAGACTTCCAAGAGGAAGGCAAATGAAGAATGAAGCAGAGAAAAATGTTTAAAAATATAATGGCCAAAAATTTCCCAAATTACTTGAGAAAGTTTAATTTATAAATTCAAGAAGTCTAATAAATCAAAAGAAGAATAAATATAATCTGTACCATAACATAATATTAAATTCTGGAATCTATAAATAAAAAAAATCTTAAAAGCAGCCAGAGAAAAATTACACATTATGTACAGAAGCAAAATCATGTGAATTTCACTGATTTCTCACAAGAAACAATGAGGGCCACAATCCAGTGGAAGGACACCTTTAAAATGATGAAAGAATAAAACTGACAACCAAGAACTCTATATCCAGGGAAATTATCCCCAAAATAGTACAGCAAAATAAAAACATTTCAAATGAACAATAACTGAGAAAATGTGTAGCCAGCAGATTACCATTCAAAAAAGCTGAAAGAAGTTCTCTGGCTGAGAAGAAGTAATATCAGATAGGAATTCAGATAGATCAACAAAAGAAATGACTAGCACTAAAAATAATAAGCATTGCATAAATATAAGGGAGCATTTTTTCTTTTTTACTTTCTTCAAAAATATAGGACTGTTTAAATAAAACAATTATAATATTTTGTTATGGTGTGTATGGTATGCAGATTACATGATGTGCATATATGTGTATATAATATGTTTATAATAATGCAAAGGAAAGTTTGCACTGTTATAGACAATGATGTTAATGAAACTATACTGTTGCAACTTTCCTATAGTTCATTTGAAGGAATAAAAACTTGACACTGAAAAGTTAAAGATGCATATAGTAATCAGCAGTTGAAAGCAGAACAATTAGTTAAAAAGATGCATGGTTAAAAAGTCATTATTTGAAGTAAAATTGAGTATTAAAATTTGTTCGACTTTCACGAAACAAGGCGGGAAATGTAGAATAGAGGAACAAAAAATAGTTGGAACAAATGAAAATATGATAGATCTAATTCAATAATATCAATACATTAATATAATGGACTAAACTCTCAAAAGGCAAACATTCTTAGGCAACATTAAAAAAATCAAGACTCATATGCTGTGAACAGAAGGCAATTTTTAAATATGAAAACAAAAATAAAATGTAAAAAGCGGAAAGGGTACATTATGAAAACACTAACTATAAGTAAGGTGAGATCACTATGCTAATATCATCTGCAATAGACTTTCAAGAAAAAGAACTTGAATGGAGATAAAGATAGACATCTTCTATACAGGAGTCAATTTATCTACAAAACATCAGGATTATGAATATGAATGTACTTAATCATAAGACTTCAAAACCTCATCTCTACAAAAATACAAAAATTAGCTGGGCGTGGTGGCAGGCACCTGTAATCCTAGCTACTCGGGAAGCTGAGGCAGGAGAATCACTTAAACCTAGGAGGTGGAGGTTGCAATGAGCCGAGATCACACCAATGGCACTCCAGCCTGGGCAACAGAGTGAGACTCCATCTCAAAAAAAAAAGGATTCTTCAGAAATAATATGGAAATATTATAAATAACTGAACATGTATTGCTGTGTGCTTTACTAATAGCTAATGTGGGCTCATACACACATATACACGTATATGTTTCTCACTTTCTAATATGCAACACATATATATCATATCAGACACACATATACATATATGAGAATGATAAAACAAATGGAGCAAAATAGAAACACTTGTTGAATCTGGATATAGGAAATATGGGATTTTTTAACTATTCATGCAATTTTTCTATAAATTTGATATTATATCAAAGCAAAAGTTATTTTGAAAACTGTAAGAATAAGCCCAGATTAGTTATCATGGTGAAAAAAGAAATGTACACAGCTTATATTGGGTCAAATCTATTCAAAAAATAAATTAAGCTCAGGCCCCAAATTTTAGTTTCATTTCTTACTCTATCTGGAATCCAGAAAACTGATATGACTTCTTGAAAGGCTGTTTCCCTTAAATTGAACATTAAAATCTCAAAATGCCTGTTATTTCTTGATGAGGCATCTACCCATTGCAGAATCCTCTCATAAACTTGTAACTATGTTCTAGCTTACTGTTGAAAACTGGAATTCCTTTTTTTTCTATTCTCTTTTCTCCCAGCCCATCTATCCCTTCTCTCTTCTATTTTAAAGTCTACTTTATTCTGAAGGAAAAGAGATTAGGATACTTGTAGTCCTAGCTACTTGGGAGGCTGAGGCTTGAGTGTGGATGATCGCTTGAGCCCAGGAATTTGAGACCAGCCTGGGCAACATAGTGTGACATATATATATATAAAAGGTGAGGGGTTTTCATATGAAGAGGTTAGGGTTATTTACTTTTTTCATATGAAGAGGTTAGGGTTATACCCTGTCCTATATACATGAAAAAGAGGTGAGGGATGAATCTGAATCTGAAGGCATCTCCTCTCCCAGCTATAAGAGGAAGGGAATTATGGAGAGAGGCCAGTCAACATACATCCATTCTTTCATTCTTTTTCTGTCCCCCAAATATTATCTCATTCACAAATATGAAGAAACCTTTTGGATGATGATTATTTGTCCCCATCCTAAAACTTATGGTAATAAAATAAACAGAATATGCTATTTATTGAAGATATATAGTGTATCATTGTCTTAGTCCATTTGAGCTGCTATAACAGACTACCATAAACTGAGTGGCTCATAAGCCATAGAAATTTATTTCTCACAGTTCTAGAGGCTGAGAAGTCCAAGATCAAGGCATCAATAGATTCAGTGTCTGGTGAAGTCCCTCTTCATAGAAGTCCATCTTTTCACTGTAATTTAACATGGTGGAAGGAACGGAGGTCTCTCTGGGTTCTCTTTTATAAGGGCACTAATCCCATTCATAAGTATCATGCTTTTATGACCTAATCACCTCCCAAAGTTTCTACCTCCTAATAGCATCACCTTGGGAGTTAGAATTTCAACATATGAATTTGCAGGGAGACACAAACATTTAGTCTACAAGAGTCTGTCACAATACTGGGTATTTTGATACATGGTTATTCTACCTCACAATCTTATAAGGTATGTTAACAGATCAAAAAAAGATAAAACATTGCTCAAATGAAGTTGAGATTCAAAGGTATTAAATAATGTGTTCAAGAATACAATTGTGTAAGGTAAACAATTTGTTCATGCCACCACACCCTCTCTTATTCTCTGCCTAGGTATTGTTACAAGAAGATTTTGATCCCAGTGTTTTCTATTCCTATCCTAGGTAATTCTTATAGTTCTACAAATCCAAAATATTGCTAAATAGGTTAGACAGATGATAGATAAGATAGAGACATGATAGGATGGATGGATGGATAGATAGATAGATAGATAGATAGATAGATAGATAGATAGATAGATAGATAGATAAAAATTTGGCCTCATATTCAACTCAGAACATCCATTCATTTGTTAATTCAAAATTCATATACTATTCCCTTATTTTATACCAGGCACAGGACCAGCCACTATGGAGAGGGGGAAAAATCAAATAAGATGGAATGTATATACAGTCAGCTACAAACTACAAAGAGATGTACTATATTTACTTCTATTCCCTGCATGATCCTAACATAAAAGACATATTCAGGAAATGTTAAAATGGAATAAGTAAGGCTGAACTATCCAAGAAAAATACTACACATCTCTCCGGGGTGGGAACAGGATTGAGTGGACAGGAGCAGCTTGTGGTTTTAAACCAAAATAGAAGAAGATATAAGAGAACCTGACTGAGAGAATGAAGCTGTCCCTTAGCTCTTCCATGTGAAGGGAGAATTCCAACACCAACATCTAAACTCTTACCATGAATAATGTCAACAGCTGATGACTTACAACAGCTTGCATATCTAATTCTTTAAAATAATCCCCTATTTATATAATTATCACATCCTTGTCACAGATGAGGAAACAAAGGTTAAGTTCCTTATCTGAGTTCACTTAGTTCCTAGGTGAAAGAGTTTATTATAAACCCAAGCTGCTTGATCCACAGGTCTTCATCTCCCTGGCTCCCATGTCTTTTTATTATATCATCTCTATTAAATATTTTACTGCTTTATATTTTCTCCACTAGATGACCTGGATAGCTGTTCTATGTTAGGATCTGTGTTATATACATGGGATAGAGATGGATATAGTACATCTCTTTGTCGCTTGTAGTAGTTGACTTTGTATTCTGTCTAATTTGATGTTTTCGCCACTCTCTGTAGTGGCTGGCCCTGTGCCTGTTATAAAACGAGGGAATAGTACATGAATTTCAAATTAACAAATGAATGAATGTTCTGAGTCAAATGTGAGGCCAGGTATGCATGTATGTATGTATGCATGCATGCATGTATGCATGTATGTATCTATCTATCTATCTCTCTCTCTCTACCTATCTTCCTAACAATCCTACAGGTAGGTAATAATATTTCTATTTTGCTGAAGAGAAAACAGGCTTAGAGAACTTAAGGAGCTGGTTTAATATCACACAGTTAAATAATATCAAAGTCAAGAGTTAAAACCAGGTATGAATTCAGAAAAACAGGCTCTCAACTACCATTACCCCTCACCAGGATGAACTTTTCACTTCAGCTTCCTATATTTCTAATGCATTTTTCTCCTGCTAGGACCATGTATGGTAACAGTATCCTTCAGCCCTCCATGGCTTAATATAATAAAGATCTGTTTCTCAATTGGCTACATGTCTAGAGCAGTGTCAGAAGACAAAATAAGAAATCAGTTTACCATAGACCCTCAGAGACTCAAAATCAACAGATCCTTTAAAACAGTCAAAAGAAAGAAGAAGATGGAAGAAGGAGAGGGGAAGAGGAAGGAGAAGAGGAAGAGGAAGAAGGAGAGGAAAAGGAAGAAGAAAGGGGAAGAAGAAGGAGGAGGAGGAGGAAGAGGGAAGAAGAAGGAGGAGGAGGAAGAGGGAAGAAGAAGGAGGAAGAAAAAGGAGGAGGAAGAAGGAGAAGGAGGAGGAGGAAGAAAGAGGAGGAAGAAGGAGGAGGAAAAAGGAGGAGGAAAAAGGAGGAGGAAGAAGGAGAAGGAAGAAAGAGGAGGAAGAAGGAGGAATGAGGAGGAGGAAGAAGGAGGAGAAAGGAGAAGGAAGAAGGAGGAGAAAGGAGGAGGAGGAAGGAGGAGGAGGAAAGAGGAAGGAGGAGGAGAAAAGAGGAAGGAGGAGAAGGAAAGAGAAAGGAGGAGGAGGAGGAACGGAGGGGGAGTGAGGAAGGAAAAAAAAACAGATGAACATACCAACTTTCACACTGCACATTAAAGCTTCCACCCAGAATTGCCACATATCATTTCCATTCACATATCACTGACAAAAGCAAAATTCTATGACCACAGATAATTTCAAGGTGGGTATAAAAGTACAAACCAGCCATGTGCTAAAACAGGAGAAAACCAAGCATCTGTGAACACAAGCTCTCTCTCCCATCTTGCAAAGATAGGTACCATCAGTGCTGATATAGAGAAAGGAAGAGCTAACATCTCTTGCTTACGAGACACCCAGTGTCCACTCTGCTGACCACAGTGCCTGGTGAGCATTTCTTATAAGGTTCCTGTGCCAAGCCCAGTCTCTACCAACAGTCATGCCTGAACTCAGGGTGGCACTGCCATGACCCAGTGGGGTACAAAACAGATTGGACAATGTTGTTGCTCCCTTAGTTACCCAAATGGATAGGCAAGTGACCCAGCCCAATACTTGAGATTCCAGCATTAGTGTTCACAACTCCCCTAAAGCGTTTGAGGGAGGGATTGATATCAACAAAGTCAGCAAATGTGTGGATAAGTTTGGAGTTTTAAGAGAATCCCTCTGCAAATCACCTCCATGGCTGGTGTCTCACTGGAAGAAATTACACCAGTTATTTTAACAGAATTTAACACAAAATTTGTTATCTAGGTATAAAGAATTGTTAACTAGATATCTAAAAAGGCAAAAAAGATATACTAAGGTATCACAGAGATAGTATTGGAAGAGCTACTATCTGGGGGAACAAAGAAAAAAGGCTGAAGTTATTAAAATTTAGAAAGGTGAATGAGGGTCCCATGAATGAAGGAAGATCCAAAGAATGGAATAGGTCCCACAGACCCTCAGATCTCTGAGACTGGGGGTGCCCTCTCCTGGGCTGTGCTTGTGTCTCTAAGGAAGGTGCTATGGGCTGATTCGTTGAGCATTGAAAAAAAATCAATTCCTCTACTGTAGCAGAAGCAAACAGCTGCTGCTTGGGTTAAGAAGGGAGCCTGGGGTGATTCATCAAAAGCATATGAGAAGCAGACAGGAAGGAGAAAGTCCATTCTTCCTTCTCCTGGCTTGCAGTTTCCCTCTGGTGTTCCTTATTAACAGAACCTATCATAGAGCCAGGTGGCAAAGCAGAAATGAAGTTACAGGCTCCCGGTCCCAGCATCACAAATCTTGAGTGCAGAATAGTGGGTTGGAAGCCAGAAGACAGTAGCTTAATATCTGGCCCAGCTGGGCTATGACAAGGCCAGCAGCTATTGCTGAGGTGGATTCCCCAGACAGGGGACTTGAAATGGAAATTGGAGAGATGGGTTTCCTAGAACATTTGGAAGCAAATTGAATCAAAGGGTGAGTAAGTCCAAGTGAGTGTGCCAGGACAACAAGGTGGGAAGCCAGACTGTATATCAGAACAAGGGAGACTGTGGAGCTGGTATTGGGAGAGGGAGCTGCAGGAGCCAGCCTGGTAAATGTGGGAGCATGGCAAAGCACGAGGAGCATAGATAATGAAACAAGAAGGCAAAGAAATTTGCAGGACCCAGATGTCTAAACCCTCTCTGGGAAAGACAGCAACACAGCTTCTCTATCTAATTATCAGTCAACCTTAGTTTGTATTTTAGAAGATAAAGAGGTATATAAGTTCATGTGTGTGTGTGTTGTGCACATGAGCTTGTACATGCATATATATCCCAGGGGATTGTTACTGAAGAATCTTGAAACATTGATGCACAGACAATATGACATGTATTTGTTATGGTTAGTGACAAGAATTGGATCTTAATGGAGAAGGTGATTGTTATTCATGATTTCCAAACGGTTAACTAGATCCAGAGGATTTACATTCAACCAAGTCATTTCCCTTCCATGCTTGCCGGCCATGATAGATGGAAATGTCAAGTCCCATGAGATCTCAGGCCTTACATTTTCTTTCTACCAGAAATGGGGCATTTTTTTCCTCACCATTTCTGCTCTGAGTCTCATTTCTACAAACAGTGCTGGTGATACTTCTGTGCATTTGATCTTCAATTTCTAACTTCCATTAAAGGGCATTGTCAGCCCACAGCACAGTTTCTAAGGCAGATATTTTTCTGACATCCAAAAAAGAAAAAAAAAAAGGATGAGAGAAAGAAGGTGACTCTGAATATGAAATGCAAGATTTCACAGAATCATGGATTTTCAAGCTAGAAAGTACTTTAGGGAATACTGAGTTTAGTGTTTTCGAACTCTGTTTTAAACAAAAGGATTTCTTTCACTAGGTTTTGGAACTGATAATTTCTTGAATGAATGAATGAAAAAGGCAGAATATGTGGCAGAGGACTTTGTAGGTAGAAGAAATTACAAGATCAATGGTACAGGAGTCATAACATTTCCCAGGGTTTTCTGGAACTCAGTATATTGAAGCCAAAGTGCAAGATAGGAAGAAGTAGACAATGAACTTATTTCCTGCATTTCAATTTAATCTCATGGTTAATGATTGTGGAAGTGACAGAGATTTTAGGTAATAAAGATACATAATCAGATTTGGGTTTCAAATACACTGGATTAGAAACTATGCAAAAAAAGAAGGAGGGAAATGAATTAGGGTTCTCCAGAGAAACAGAACCAACAGGCTATATAAAGATATATAGGAGGAGATTTACTATGGGAACTGGCTCACATAAATATGGAGGCCAAGGAATCCCATGATATGCCATCTGCAAGCTGGAAAACCAAGAAAGCTAGCGGTGAAACTTAGACCAAGTCGAAAGTCCTGAGAACCAGAAGAACCAATGGTATAAGTTTCAGTCCAAGGTTAAAGGTCTAAGAACCAGAAGCTCCAATGTCCAAGGTTAAGAGAAGATGGATGTATTAGCTCAAGCCAAGAGAGAGGGAGAAAAAGAGAGAAAAAATTAGCCCTTCTCCCACCTTTCTGTTCTATTCAGGTCCTCAACAAATTAGATGATACCTGCCCATGTCAGTGAGGTCAGATCTTCTTTACTTAGCTAACTGATTCAAATGCTAATTTCTTCTGAAAATAATCTTACAGACACACCTAGAAATAATGTTTTACCAGCTATCTGGGTATCCCTTGGCCAGCCAAGTTGATATATAAGATTAAAAATCACAGAAGGATTTTGCAATAATAAAAATGAGAAATAATAAAGTCTATACCTGAGTAGTGGAATTGGGAAATTGAGATTAGGAAGAAAAAAATTCAAGAGATATTTAGGAACTGGCCAGTTCTAGATGACTGAGGACAGAAAGAAACATGGAAGAATCTAAAATAATCCCCAGGTCTCCAGCTTATACTCCTGGGCTAATGATGGTGTTCCCTGAACTGAGGAGGACAGGAAAAGCTGGGATACAGTTACTGTGTTTGTTTTCAGACATGTTAAATTAGGCTCAAGATGGAAACATTAAAGGGAAGACTAAAAAAAAAAAAAAAAAAAAAAGGCTAAGATAAAACACTAGCAAGCTCTTCTGGACTGGAAGGCAAGAGACGGTAATTAGCACTGGGAAACAAGACTAGGAAGGGACATAAAGTGTAGGCAGTACCAAGTATGACCACCCAAGTTTCAGATAAATCCAGTATCAAGTATCAAAGCCAGCAGAGACTAATAAGAGGCAAGGTCTAGGAACCACGGGATGTCCCAGTAAATGAGCATCAATTTCCACAGAATTACAGGAATGGCTGAGGCTTTTCTCCCCATCATCTCCTTTCCAGGGTCTTTAAAGCCCAATAGTTCATACCCAGCTTCTGACAAAGAAGATGAGCAAAGCTAAGCTTTATCTATTTCAGTCCTTCTGCATTCTACTTCCAAGGAAGCATATAACCATTAAGCTGGAAAAGGGTGTCTCTATATCAAGGGAGATGGAGCTGTGTGGGTAGTGGCTTTGGGGAGCAGTCCAACCTCGGAGAAGGAGTGTGAATTACCACCCGCACACACAGAGTGGCTCTCCTCAACTGCCTGCCAAGGAAGGGATAGTTCTCAACCAAATCAGTCTGTGACTGCCAAAAGCTCTTGTGAGGGCCCAGTTTTCCAGCAGGAAACGTAACCTGAATTGGAAAACATGACTGTAAGCTGGAAAACAAACAGCTCAAAATATCTGTGTCCTGAAATGAACCATAAGCCATTCTGTCTCCAGAACTGAATCCACTTAGTCAAAGGAGCAGAGGGTCAGGGGAGCCAGCAGAAAGGAGGGTGAGAGGAAGGAAAGACCAATTGATGGAAGGAAAGAAGAAAGGAAATACAGAACAAAAGGGACATTGAGCCTTTGCTATATGCCAAGATCTGTGTGGGGAGGTCCACATTCATTTATGAAGCCTTTCAATGACTTTACGACACATGAAGAAGCTGGAACCTCTGAGGTTACTTAACTTACTCAAGATCACATAATTAGAATGGAGCAGAGCTGGAACTTGAACTCAGATTTAGTGACTCCAAAATTAACATGCTTTCACTAGATTCCTTTGCACCCTGAAAGGGGGAAAGGAGGAAGTGTTATTGGATACTACCTTGGAGAAGACTTCCTGAGCCCTTATTAGCTTTTTAAAAATTAAGGATACAGAAGTGGCCAACATCAGAGAATTCCTAGTCCCTGAGTTGCATATACAGAGAGTAACTTGAAAAATTAATCAGATATTATAGGACTATTTTTCTTTTCCAGAGAATCTTTCCTTCTCTTCCTTTTTTCTGGATTTTCCCTGACCTCCAAAGCTCCAGTTGATCCATCTGTATATGCATTTTCAATAATGATGCTTATACATGAAACTCTATAGGGTCAAAAGATTTTAAGCAATTTACCAAGCCACCTCACTGATAAATGACAGGATTAAGATTTAAACCCAGGTCATTGAACTCTTCTTTCCAAGTAATTTCTACTGTGTAATAGCTGTCTCTATAACATGTGCTTATAGGAAGGAGGTACAAGATAAACATTGACCATCAATTTGTCAGTTCTAGCTGCTGAAATATTTTAGTTACCACTATTCCATTGGTGACTCCACAGAAAATCTCAAAAGGACTGGCCAGTGACAACGAGGAAATTACTAAACTGTAAAGTGATATGCAAATGAAAGCAATTATAATTTTAATAATGGATTCTCTTGACTCAGAACCTGAAACTACAGCTACTCAAAGATGACAGTTGAAAAATATCATAAAAATAGGACATTTAACCATTTGCTTAAGAAATGATTGCCTTTCTAAAACCTGTGGTAAATGTTAAGTGACTTGCTCAAAGTCACACAGGTAGAAGATGGTAAGACAGAAATACAAACCCAAGCAATCTGTCTCCAGCAACTAAAATTAAAATCACGTCACAATTTTGCTTCTCTTTGTGCATAGACTATCCAGTGAAATGAGTAACATCATTATATATGCCTTCATTTTATAAACAAGGTAATAAGAAATTATATTTCTTATGCAAAGGACCTACAGCCAGTATGCAGTGGAGGTGAGATCTGCATTCAGGTTGTGCGATCCCAGAGTTGGCAGAATTAACCACAATGCTGCAGCTGCTACCTTATATGAAAAATAAAAGGAAGACAGAAAAACATAGAACTGGTTTAATATTCATAATTTGTAAAACATAGTTTCACAGCCTTAATTTTTTCAGCCTACTGTCACAAAATACCTTGGACTGGGTAACTTATAAACTACAGAAATGTATTACAGTTCTGGAGGCTGGCAAGTCTAAGATCAAGAAGCTTCAGTGTCTGATGAAGGGTCACTCTCTGCTTCATAGATGGTGCCTTCTAGCTGTGTCCTCAGATGGTGGAAGGAGCAAATGAGCTTCCTTGGGCCTTTTTTTTTTTCTTTAATAAAGGAACTAATTCCATTCACGAGAGCTCCGCCCTCATAGTCTAATCATTTCCTAAAGTCCCCACCTCTTAAGATTATTGCATTGTGGATTTGGTTTCAACACATGGATTCTGAAGAGACACATTCAGACCATAGCAAGTGGAGAACTGACAGGTATAAATATAATTACCCATTATAGTCATCAACTATCTATTCCTTAAACTCAACCCTTTTATCTATCTCCACTAACAACACTGAAATTCAGGGTCATCACGTTTTCCATAGACACTCTCTTATATCTCCCTATCTGCTCCTTCCATTCTACAACCTATCCCCCACGCTGCCATAGAAAGAATATTTTAGTGACATGGATCTGATGATGTCTCTTCCCCACTAAAAACCCTCACTAGCTCCCTCTTTTCATTAGGAAAAAGCCCATGGATTCTGTTCTGGCACCATGTTCCCAGGCCCCTCTACTCTGCCATGTGACCAACTCTTGGGTCTCATCTCATACTGTTCCCTTTCTACATCTCACAATTTCTGTTCCGCCACTGGATGACTTCTGATTCTGGTATTATGCAAAGCTGTCTCCTACCTCTGTATCTCTGCTCATGATGCCATCTGTGATTAGAATGTTTTCTCCTCCCTTGTGTATGTGCTGAAAACTTCCCAGCCAAGTTACCCCCTTTTTAAGATCCTCTTTCTCTTCTAGTCCCTCCTTGGGGCTGCTTCTGTACTAATCAAATGCCTTTGTCACTTTGCATGCTGCATGTGTCTCCACACCCACACTAGGGCAACTTGAGGTTAGAAAGCCTGCCTTAATCGTCTTTGAGCCTAGCATAGGAGTTCTGTAAGTGCTTTCTGATGTGAAGTTGGCTGACTTCTCAGTTTCTCCCTCACTAGTCCCCATAAATTGTCCTTTTGGGTACAGAAAATGTGTCTTCCTTTACTACCTCCCTCCCTTCCTTCCTTTCTCTCTCCTTGTCTTCTTTCCTCCCCTCCTATGTACTCTGAAGAGGTGAAAAAGCAAGAGGCTCAACAAAAAGTAACTCAAAAGTGCCATTCAAATGCCAATTTGTATTATTTCTCTTGTGTCTGTAAGAGAGAGACATAGAAGCAGAGAGAGAGAGAGAGAGGAAGGGGGAGATGGTGGAGGGTATGCAGCTGGCTGTGGGTAGAAGCATCCCCACTAGGCAGGATCTCACACTGTGTTTAATGGCAAGCCTACTTTGGGGGACGATGGGGATGGGGAGCAATAGATTGACTGCTGTGTGTACCAATTTGAAATTGCTAGCTATACCCTTAGCTAACACTAGTGTTTCATGTTGCAAATCCAGTGTTACCACATGAAATAGCCAGCAAGTGCACCTCTGCCAGAGTTGGAGTAATTTGTTATCGGCTGGAGTGAGAAGCTGACACAGTTAGCTCACAGAGATGCTTTTATTCAGATGTGCAGCCTTCCTCAGATTAACCATGACTGTCCCGGGTCATATGCTCTAAGCAAAAGCTCCTTGGCCAGTGCTGTTGCATTTTTGAAGAGGATTCCCAATCTGCTATCCAAATAGTTTCTGACTTTCCCATCTTAGCTGTTCCCTGATGATGATACAGGAAGATATTTGGAGAGGTATGGGATTCAGAAACAGAAGCTGGAGAAGAAAACATCTCTGTCTTGCCTCCCTGAAATCCATCCTCCAATGTAGTTTGCTAAAACTCCAATCTGATTGGATCACTCCTGTTTAGATCCTCTCAGCGACCCTACTGCACTCAGATGATGCTGAAGCTTCTTAACCTTCCATGGATGCCTATCTGCAATCTGGCCCCTGCTTACTTCCCACAGGCAACTTTTGTCTCTGACTTTTGGATCCGGTACCACCAAACTATTTGTCAGTTTCTGCACGTATTGTTTTTGTCTCCAAGCCTTTGTTCAAGCAGTTCCTTCTGCCTGGAGTGCCCTTTCCTGAACCCCTGACCTCTCACCCACATTGCTTAGAAAACTTCTACTAACCATTTAAGGTTTAGCTTAACTCCTCCAACTTCTTCTAACCCTCTGGGTTAATTAATTTCATTCAGGCTCCCATAGCTGACATTTCTCCCCCATGTGTTACAGCGATCTCAGGAAGCAGCAGCATATATGGTCAGGAGCAGGTGAAGGACCAAGAGGAGTAGTAGGCATGGTCTGCCCTGGGTGCAGACAATAAAGGATGCATTGTTTATGAAGAATGTGAAAAAAAATAAAAACAGACTGAAAGTTTCATGTACCTGCAATTCTAAACAATCTTAGTGATAAAATACTCTTCCCTACATGGGCAGTCTATTCCCATATC
This sequence comes from Homo sapiens, assembly GCF_000001405.40. Lineage (NCBI taxonomy): Eukaryota > Metazoa > Chordata > Mammalia > Primates > Hominidae > Homo > Homo sapiens. The sequence goes on along the minus strand of NC_000009.12, from coordinate 106,224,925 downwards.
CACTGGCAGGTAATAATGCAGGGTCTAGAGTCAATACAATCAGCTCCACCATGTAATGGCTGTGTCACCTTGGGCATATTACTCATCTTTGTGATCCTCAGTTCCTTCCTTTGTAAACTGAGGACACAGAAGCTACCTGCCTGGTTAGTTCATGTGATGATTTCATGAAACAATGCACGTAAAGTACTTATAACAGTAACTGGGACTAAGTAACGTTTCCATAAATGCTAACAACTATTTGATGCGTCGGTATTCCTCCCTTGGGTTAAAACTTCCCCACTAGCTTAAAGGTCTTTGAGAATCTATCTTGCTTACTATTGTATACATGCCGCCTAGCATAATAAGCATTTGTTGAATGAATAAATGGGTCATATTCATATCTGTATTCTAAGTGCATGGCAGAATATGTGTATTGGAAATGGTGCTCAGTAAATGTTTGCTGGGTGAATGAATAGTTAAACAAAACGTTGGCTTGTAGAAGAAGAATAAACTTGCAAAGGAAACCAGAAGTGATCCTTAAGAGATACAGATATACATTTAGAAAGGGTAGGCAAAACTGATGGTGAGAGTGAAAGAGACATACAGTTTTACTTCTCCTCGAACTATTCTGGAAGGTTGCACCTAATAAAATGTGGGTCTGTGGAAATTGGAGTCATGCCAACCGACTGCATGGCTTACAGAGCTAGAGGAGGGACAAGAAAATCCATCATATGGGTTTATATCACAAAGTAGCAGTAACAAAAGGGCACTCAAGAGGAAGACTTTCCCACAGTTTGAGCTCCACATTAAGACCAGAAATACAGCTGCAAAGAGGAACATGAGGATCTGCCAGTTCCTTATTCCAATCACTGTGTTAATGTTAGATTTTTTTCATTTGGTTGACAAAGTTCATTACTATAATTCTTTGTATGTCATGCTTGAAAGATATATGACTAAGATATGATTGGAATAAGGATTACTCTCAGATTTTCCAGGATGTGAAATCTACTAAACCCATGGAGATATTACACATAAAACTCTATATCAGAGCCCTCAACAGGAGAGATGAAGATTATTCACTTAAGATTAATTCATAGCAATCTTTGGCATTTCCCTCAAAAAAAATGGCACTTCATTAATTCTTAGCTTTAATAAGCAGAAAGAATAGGTCATACCTGGGTTTTGGTAAAACTTTTGCCAGATCATATATCATTACAAGAAGTCCAAAGGACCACATTAAATTGAATTCAAACCAACAAAATGATATTTAATGTAAAAAGTCCAAGTCTTGGTTGATATTCATGCTAGATGAAAAGAAGCCTGCTCAGGCAGTCATGGTTCCAACAGTAATCCTGATGTTTTCATTCACTTATCTAAATACTGTCCTCCGGAGACCAAAAGAAGAATTTGCTTCTTGAACCTACACCCTACCAGCTAAGTGAAGATAGCTCCCACATGCCAACCCACACCAACCTGCTAACACTTATCTTTCTCAGAGTTATATGTCCTCTTTATCTAATCTTCACATAACATGGTTTTCTGTCTTTTATTGCAATTTAAATCATAAAAGAAGTATGTTCTAACATGTGCTGGACTGACGTAAGCTTTACCAGTGTCCTCCAAAAGCCCCATATCCAAGATGACAGGAATTATACAGGGTATCATGTCTGATCACCTATTGAATTAGATACTTTCCTCCATAGTAGTTCTGTTTGAACTCCTCCTGCTAATAGGAGGTCTCTACCTTCCAAACTACTTTTTGGAAAGAATGGACAAATAAAGTGTTGCTGCTTCTGCTGTCAAAGGAAGACCCAAAATAATAGTGGTTTTAATTATATAGTGGTTTGTTTTTCTGAGTAGGAGGTCCAAGTTTGATATGGCAGCTCTACAAATATTAGAGACCCTAGTTATATCTGTCTTTTGCTCCACTGTTTTCAAAATGCAGCCTGCATCTCATGGTTCAAGGTGGCTTTCTTAGCTCTAATCATAACGAGTCTACATTCTCACTGGCAAAAAGGAGAAGAAGTAGGGAGGTAGGTACACTCTTCCTTTTGAGAGTCCAACTGCAAGTTGCACGCATCATGACTGCTTATTTGCAGTTGACCAGAACTCAGTCACATTCCAGTCACACATGAATAAGAGGAAGTCTTTAGTCTAGGCCTGTCAAAAAAATCAAAGATTCTACTACAATGAAAAAAAAAAAAAAGATAAAATGGATATTGGAGGACAACTGACAGCTTCTGCCATACATATTTTAAAATTCTTCCTTATATCTAAGTAAAATTTGCCTCTGATGAAAATAATTTATTCTCTAGAAATAAAATAAATAGTCTTAATCTCTTCAGAAAACTAAGTGCAACTGTCATGGAGCTTCCCCCTACTAAATTTTTACTTTGCCAAGAAACACAAGCCTCTACTTCTTTGTTTCTTCTAGAATGTGGTTTCTACATACTTCTGCATCCTCGTCACATTTATCTTGTCTCTTTTTTGCCAATGTTTCCCTCACTGGTTCAGAGTTCTTGTACTATACCTCTAAGATCACACTGCAGTTTTAGCAATAACATTCCTCATTTCACAAATAAGTATTCATTCCTGACATTTTCATAAACTATGCTCAGTATCAGTGATAACTCAAAGAAGACATGACTTTCAACTCCAAGGAAATTTTATATAGTCTAGTGCCACTTTAGACAACTGATTCATAACAGTCTTATGGGCAACTCAATTCTCCTTCATATTTTTCACAAGAGTAATAATTCATGCCTGCAACATTCAAAAATTTGGTAATTGACTTATTTGTTGAATTGAGGGAGTTGATGTCCAGCTGTGTTGTATCTTACTTTGATTTTCAGCTCATTATCTCATAATTTGAAACCCTGATTTTCTCTTTGGATATTATGTTTTCACTCCCAATTTTACGGATTTTGACATTTCCTTTTTTGGCAGACATGCTCAGAGAAACCATTGATATAAATGATTTGCTGTAACCCAGATATATTAGTCTGTTTAGGCTGCTATAACAAAGTGCCACAGACTGTGGCTCACAAACAGCAGAAATTTATTTCTCACATCTGGAAGCTGGGAAGTTCAAGATCAAGAAAATAGCAGATTTTGTGTCTTTTAAGGGTCCTCCTTATAGACAGCAGTATTTGTGGGTTCTCACTTGGCAGAAGGGGAGTGGGAGGGTCTTTTTTTATAGAAGCACTAATCCCATTCATGAGGGCTCCTCCCTCATGATCTAATCACCTAACAAAGATCTCACCTCCTAATACCATCATGTTAAGGGTTAGGATTTCAACATATGAATCGGGGGAGGCAGGGGTGGGGCACAGTCTATAGCACTAGGTATGATTCTAAGCATAACATCCATTGCTTAGAAGAATGTAGAAGAATTTTTTTTTCAAAATCAGAATTTTATTTCTTTTCTCTTTGTATTCCTCTTCTTTTTTTTTTTTTTTTTTTGTTAAAAATGCTGTAAAGTAATCCTGACAGCATGAATGGCTATGCAGGTAATTAACTAATGTCAGCTGAATGCAGACCAGAAGGTTCCTAAGCCCACTGGCAAGCTAGTGCCAATGATACTCCATATTAGTAGCTGGTAATGTTGGCACAACTCTAAGAATTACGTTAACTCATCCTGTTTTGTGAGTTTAATCCTCATCAACAGAGGCTTCGCCCATGGTCCACCTCCTCTGCTGAAAAGAAATGCAAATGAGTGTCATTTATAGCTTGGGAAGTTTTCAAATTCTCAGAAAAAATATACTTCTCTTGCTCTTGGGCCATGAATGAGGAGCCAACCAGAAGTTAAACAATTCTTATCCTGAGAGCTTCGTGTCAGCCAAAAGGCCATCTCTTTTCATTTGAAATATCTGGCTCTTGGAGTAGAAGCCAAATATAAGTCTTGTTCCATTGCCTCCACTTAATTTGTGTGATCATAATCATTCCTTCCCTGTGCCATCCATATGACAGAGGAAAGGCAGTAGTTAAGCATAACCCCTCACACACATCTCAGGATAATTTACTAGTACTATGCTGAAAGAAGGACAGTGGTCATCTCAACAACGGGGAAAACCCTTTTTGAGTTTATATTCTCATCTGTAAGTTGGTCCCCTCAGCAAATTAAAAAAAAAGAAACATGCAGGAAAATAGGCCCTTTCATCGTTTTCCTTTGGGCAAAAGACAGGAGGGGGATTAATAAGTGTGAAGAGAGACAGAAAGGAAAAGCCGCAGGGCTAGGTAAGCGAAGAGAGAATCCATTCCTTGCTAATAAGAAAATGAGAAAGGCACCTGGCAGAGCGCATTCAGGGCAGACCATATCCTTTCACCGGAGCTAATAAAAGCTCTGCATTTCAGGTGACCTTTGAGCAGTAACAGACAGAGAGAGTGAAAAGTTCTTGCAAATAGAAATAAATGTCTCATAGAAGGAAGTGACATCCCAGAGCAGAGATGCTTGAGGCAAACACAACTGGGGACACACAATATTTTTTATTGCAACCTGCAGCCAACCTCATGTCCCTTAGGACCACACCCAGAAGAACCAAGATAACTTATTCATGTTGAACATCTACTAAGTTCCAGACACTGTGCAATAAAATCATCAATCCAGCCTGGACCATAGCATGACAATTCTCTTTGTAGGCCACATTGATGAATGCCAACCAACAAATGCAACTGAAGTTGATTCCGAAGGTGGATAGACACTTAAGGGACATTATTTTATCAGGACATGTTAGAGCAGGTTGCCTGCCAGTTATATTCACATAACACTGTTGCTCACTTAAAAAAAAAAAAAACTCTCTAAAGCATATTTACGCACTAACTATGAAAAGATAGAAATTAGAGAATAGCGTTTATAGATGATAGAGAATTACCTCTCCATTATTCAAGGTTTGCGGTAGCAACAAAAATACATAACAAAAATGAAACTGGATTAGGAGCCATAGGACAATCTGAGGTGTCATCAATTATTAGATGAAATACTTTATGCAAAACCCTAGCATGTTGCTTGGGAAAGAGTAATTGCTCAAGATATTGTAGCTATTAGTGTATAATGCAAATGTCATCAATATTATTGTTGTTGATGTTATGATGATTAGTGTTCTATATTATTTCTGACCCCATTGCATAGCCATAATTTTAAAATTATCCCTATTTTATAGGGTTCATTTCTCAGAGATGAATTGGGGAAGATGATGGAAGACAACACAATATATATATGTATATATATATGTGTATATATATGTATATATATATGTGTATATATGTATATATGTGTGTATATATGTATATATGTATATATATGTGTATATATATGTGTATATATGTGTGTATATATATGTATATATATGTGTGTGTGTATATATATATAGAAAAATGTCTAGAAAACTAAAGACTGAAGAATGAATGCTTGGGAAAGTCAGCAGTGTTTTGTATCCAAGTTCATATAAGCAAATTAAGAGATCAGCATGCCTGGACTGGGATCCTGTCACCCATTAAAGGAGGTAGACTGTGGACTCTAGAATAATGTGGCAGTTTCTGATAGCAGAAAGGAAGGAGGAGGAAGGTGAGTACATAGGTGGAGAAAATATTTCTCCACATAAGTGGAGGAAATAAGCTGCATACATAGGTGGAGGAAATATTTCAGCCTTGAACTCAACAAACTCTTTAAGCCTAACTAACCTCGAGGCAGCTTAGTTGCAGACAACAGAAGCCATCATATCTGGTGTAAGTAGAAGGATCTATATTAGAGGATAGTAGACAGTCACAGAATTTAAGATGCGTCCAATGCAATAATACTGAATATTACTCACCTTGGATCAAAATGGCCAGGAGAAACGTCCAACCACGTCACTGAACTTCTATGACTGATACCCAACTGCTGCTGTCACCTGCTGCTTAACAACCATGACTCACAGGAACAGAAAGTAAGTAGAATTTCTACCACAGCATCTGATCTCACATGGCTATTAACTTTGCTCTCCAAGTATCTCACAATTTTATCTGCTTAGCATAATCTAGGTAACCTGTAAAATCATTGCTGGACAAGAATCTCAGAATGTGGATTTTTAGCTTTCCAGCCCATATAGTACAGGAAAGTATAAGAGAAAGGTATTAGAAGTGGTGTTAAGTAAACTAATTTATCGCATCTATCACATTGACATCAGATTTGGAGATCAAATAGCTTTTTCAGTCATCTGGTTATTAAATCTCGGTATCCCTTTTCATGCTAAGTGGCCTGGTTCTGCTCCAAGACTGTGGAGGGCCCTCAGAAAACCAGTGCTACTATGAACTTGATGCAGAGACCCAGAGAAAACCACAGAAACATGTAATATTGCTGAACTCAGGAAGTGTCAGTACAGGCTCACTGGGTATTTCTCATATCGAAAATTCCTCCTGTGCTTTACCTTTTTACCAATAGTACTGTCATGTTGGAGGCATGGATGTAGATTAGTGCTCTCAAAAGACATCCTGCACAACACACTCATCCAAATCTCTTAGGGTGTTTATTAAAATGAGGATTCTTGGGCTCTACTCCAGACTATGTAGCAGGATCTTTGCATTAATAAGAACTATATAGTGGAAAACCACTGATCTATATTTTGACACATGCTTATAATGTCTGGATTCAGAGTACCATAGAAACTCCCAGTTATTTCTATGTAGTTTACCTCCAAGAGCTATTATTCAGGTCTGAAAGCTGTAAAGTAAAAAATAAGTTGGAAACTCCTTTCTGGCCTTGTGAACTTGAGGGCTGCCAAAGAACTGATATTGAGAATATATTGAAACTCAATAAAAATGCATAATTTTTAAAGCTACATTAACACATTGTCATATCCTAGGTACTGAAAATATGTAAACCAAAACTGAATTCATATTAATCCAAATGTTTGTTTGCAGAATTACTTAGTCTCAGCAATAAGGTATTGGGCCTGGAAAATTGTTTACAGGTGTCTCCAAGGAGATGGCATTAAGACATTTACACATGGTGTACCCTGTATTTACATGCAAGCTAGACACTATGCTGTGTTTTCCTATAGATGTTTTTAACCTCTACAGAAAAAAATATGAAGACCAACTTCTAGCATATGGAAGTATTTTCACATGGCAAATTATATGGAAACTAGGAGGAACAAGAAAGATTTGTAAATACTGCCAGTTTACATGCAACTTTTCAAATTCTATTAGGAGACCTAAACCCCCCTGTATTCAACTAAAATCAACCAACATTTACTGAAAACCTACTATGTGCTAAACTCTTTCTAAGTGCTTTCATACATGTTATCTGATTTAATTTTCAAAACAATTCTACAAGGGAAGTTTTTTTTCTATATTTTTATTGTATATATTTAAGGTATACAACATAAAGTTCTGATATACTTACACATTGTGAAATGGTCACTGCAGTCGAGCAAATTAACATGTCCATCATCTCACATAGTCACCGTTTTTGTTGCAAGAGCATCTCAAATCTACTCTCTAAGCAAAATCTTGAATACAATATTATTAACTATCATCCCTTTGACCTACATCTCCCCATTTGCTCTCCCTTCACCTGCCTCTTCTAGTCACCATTTTATTCTCTGTTTCCATGAACTTAAATTTTTTTAGATTCCACATATAGTGAGATCATGTGATATTTTTCTTTCTATGTCTGGCTTATTTCACTTAGCATTATGTCCTACAGGTTCATCCAGGTTGTGGTAGATGGCAGCATTTCTTGTCTTTTCAAGGCTGAATGATATTTCATCGAATATAGACATATACTACAATGTATTTATTCATCTGAATTAGGTTGTTTCCATATCTTGGCTACTATGAATAATGCTGCAATTAACATGAAAGTGCAGGTATCTCTACAGGGTGCTGATTTCATTTCCTTTAGATCTATCCCAGTAGTGGAATTGCTGTGTCCACAATGAGATGCTACCTCACACCTGTTAGGATGACTATTACCAAAAGACAAAGATAACAAATGATGACAGCATGGAGAAAAGGAGACTCTAGTACACTGTTGGTGGGAATGTCAATTGCTGCAGCCACTATGGAAAAAATATGGAAGTTCTTTAAAAAAATAGAAATAGAGGTAAATATTTTTTCTTCTGGTTTATACTGAACAAAATAAAAGTCCCAAGAGACTGGGTAATGTGTCACATAGCGAGAGAAAGTGAAGCCAGGCTTTCTGACAACAAATCCAGTGCTCTATTTTACCACACTCCCTAATTAATACTCATTATTATTTAATAATTAATACTAACAATCCACTACATCTTATAGCAAAATACACTTTTACTAAGTGCATTGTCTCATTTTTCCCATTTGACAGCACCCAAGGCTTGGCAGAGAATGATATTACAATTTCACAATGGGACAAAAAACACCATGAGATTTAATGACTGTTCACAGGCCATGAAGCTCACAGAAGCAGAGTCCATGCTTTAACCCTATTCTTCTATTTCCAAATATGTGTTCTACTTACTGCCTCAGTGTTTGAGAAAGGGGAATTAACGCTTTTCTGCACCTACTTTATTTTAGATAGAGTGCTAGGCATTTTACATACACAAGCCCTAATCTTCACAGCAAACTTGAAAACTTGCAAATATCCATGTTTTATAGATATACAATGGCTTATAAGAGGTTGAATCAGTGTTGGAACTGATTCAAACCCAACTATTTAAGACATGGATGTAATTATACATAACACACACACATACACACACACACACACAACACAGCATCATTTAAGATGGAGAAAATTGTGATGAAGAAAGTACACATAGCCCTTACCAAAACTTTTTATTTGGAAACTCCTAGTTTTCATCACAAAAAAAGTCCTAAATTGTTATCTTTATATATCAAAATAAAATTAGCAAATGTAGACAAAAATATCTCTGTCTTTCATATAGTCAAGATTGTACCTGAAGAAAGGAGAAACTGGTTGGTGCATTCTAAAAGGACTTGGACATGCCTATGAATGTCCTCTGTCAAAATAACTTTAGATAACTGTTTTCTTCATGTCATTTACCCAGCCTCATTCTTGGCAATGATGTTGTGGAAGATAGAGTTGGGAACATGTTACTCAGTGCTTAGAACTACAGTACTAGCAAACAGATAGAAAATTTAGCAGGTAGAAGGTCTTGTGTACTGAATAAGAACAATATAAAACACAGTACTCTCACAGATATTTTGAAAAACACAACTGCTATAAAATATGTGAGATTTTACCCAGGAGAGGGAACAATAAAGTGTTTGCTTTGTTAACTAATATCTCAGTAAGACTAATAATCATTAAGACTTGTATAGACTTTTTACAACTTACAAAACATTTTCATACATCAAACCCATTTGATTTCAAATTATATAACATTTTAAGCCCGTTATCTGGCCCACAGATAAATGCATGTAGCAATGATCTAAACTGATCAGTTAAGAATTACTATTTTGTTTAAACACTTGAGAAAATGGAAGCTCAGTAAAGTTAAGTGACTTTCCTGGTGTCAAATATAAGCTTTTACATGTTATGTAAATTCTTTTAATCTTTTTTGAGTCTTTCAGAAACTATTCAATTCTACAGTGTTATCATGAAGCAACATTAGATCATTTGATATACATAAAAATTGGTATTTTTCTATTATGGCTTTCCATCTTAGTTAGAAAACTTGGATTTGGTTAATTTAGGTTTCTAGAATATAAATCCTGAAGAATTCAAATCCAGATTTTTGAGTGATCCGTATGTTTGAATCACTGTGTTTTTGTCAACCATCCTTTACCTCATGGCCTAGATTTTTATAACTAAATGAAGTCAAATGAGAATATATGTAAACTATGGAGCCCTACGTGTTAATATTAGCTGCTATCAGGGCTGTGTGTGTGTGTGTGTGTGTGTGTGTATATATACACATACACATAGATACACGTATATATATATATATATATACACACACACATATACACACACATATGTGTATATGTCTGTATGTGTGTGTGTGTATATATATATGTGTATATACAGAGAGAGAGAGAGAAATGTAATATATATACACACACATATATATATATAGAGAGAGAGAAATGTAATTCCCTTAAAAAGAAAGAATTGTCTACTCAGTTAAAAAAAAAAAAGTATTATCAGGTCTGGGCGTGGTGGCTCACACCTGTAATACCAGCACTTTGGGAGGCTGAGGGAGGCAGATCACGAGTTCAGGAGATTGAGGCCATCCTGGCTAACACGGTGAAACCCTGTCTCTACTAAAAATACAAAAAATTAGCCAGGCGTGGTGGCTGGCACCTGTAGTCCCAGCTACTCGGGAGGCTGAGGCAGGAGAATGGTGTGAAGCCGGGAGGCGGAACTTGCAGTGAGCCGAGATGGTGCCACTGCACTTCAGCCTGGGTGATAGAGGGAGACTCCGTCTCAAAACAAACAAAAAAAGCATTTTATATCTTGGACTCAAAAATTCAAAAACAAATGTAATTGGTAATACTACTGTTATATTAGACTATATTACAAAATACATTGAAAGTCTGGAGTTTGATGTTTTAAAAACAGTCAAATGTTACAGAGATGGAAAACTATTAGAGATATAGTACGTTATCAAAATCAAAGATTTACCCAGGCATAATCCTCTTATAATATGATCATATGGTGTTCATATACCATAGACTCAGACTTTTTAATGTCTTTAATTTTTAAAATCTGCTAGTTAAAAAAAGAATTTTTAAAGGCACTTGAAATAAATATCTACCATATTATATTCAAATACAGTAGATATTTATTGAATGCCTGCTAGATGACAGGTGACTTTAAAAAGCCATTACTGTCCAAATTTTACAGATGAAGAAACTGAAGTTTAGACTAGTTAGGTCACTTGTTCAGGATGATAAAGATAAAAATTAACAAAGACATAAATTAAGGCCAAGTATTGCAATGTTGTATCTTATATTCATTTTCTTAAACTTCCCTGAAAGTTTCAAAATAGACCAATATATGATGTCCTGGAGGACATCAAGGATGACAACACTAACAGTCTTTTCTTCTTTTTATTACCCTTTTATTAATGTAATTACTTTTAACATTTCCTTCCACTTAATAATTTCTCCCGCTATTTTGCACCTTTATATTAAGATCAACATAACTAAGAGACTTCTGGTGTTAAGGTGGTCTCTTCTTTCAGATAACACTCCCAAAGCTAGGTGAAGCACAGTAACAGAAGCAAAGTCCTGTTTGGGAAAAACTAAGAAACATCTCTGATCCCAAACTACTATGTATGATGAATTGTGTGGGATTAACCTGAGGAAAGAAGCCTACAGCAACAGATCTTAAGCATGTCAGGAGAGCACAATCACCAAAACAGATGGGGTACTACAAGAAGCAAAAAACAATAATCACATCTTTAAAAAAATAGAAATGAGATGCCCAGGCCACGATGAGTAGCGGGAAATAAACAAAGAAATAGACAGATATGCCACTTTCACAAGAAGCAGTCTGTTAATGAATTATAGTAAAAGAAAAGGTCCAAAGCCTGATACAATAGAAATGTATAAAGACTTAAACAACTGTCTCTCACACACACACACGAGAGAGAAAGAGAGAGACAGGCAGACAGACACACAGAGACAGAGGCAGACCTTCATATACAAATAACCTTACTGTGAAATACAGAAACTCCTACTAGTCTGCAACACAGCTTGGTCCCTTTCCCATAAACTTCCTACATATGCAGTCTGAGAACTCAATAACTCATTTCATTCAAAAGTAAGCAACATTCAAAAAGAACTAAAGATTATTTAAGACAAAAACAAAGAGAAATGGGCAAAAATTGCTTTTCTCTTCTCACAGAAGGATGCACATATAGAAGACTCATTTAAAAATGTTGGCTGGCTTAGGATTGACTTGGCGATGCGGGCTCTTTTTTGGTTCCATATGAACTTTAAAGTAGTTTTTTCCAATTCTGTGAAGAAAGTCATTGGTAGCTTGATGGGGATGGCATTGAATCTGTAAATTACCTTGGGCAGTATGGCCATTTTCACGATATTGATTCTTCCTACCCATGAGCATGGAATGTTCTTCCATTTGTTTGTATCCTCTTTTATTTCCTTGAGCAGTGGTTTGTAGTTCTCCTTGAAGAGGTCCTTCACATCCCTTGTAAGTTGGATTCCTAGGTATTTTATTCTCTTTGAAGCAATTGTGAATGGGAGTTCACTCATGATTTGGCTCTCTGTTTGTCTGTTGTTGGTGTATAGGAATGCTTGTGATTTTTGTACATTGATTTTGTATCCTGAGACTTTGCTGAAGTTGCTTATCAGCTTAAGGAGATTTTGGGCTGAGACGATGGGGTTTTCTAGATAAACAATCATGTCGTCTGCAAACAGGGACAATTTGACTTCCTCTTTTCCTAATTGAATACCCTTTATTTCCTTCTCCTGCCTGATTGCCCTGGCCAGAACTTCCAACACTATGTTGAATAGGAGTGGTGAGAGAGGGCATCCCTGTCTTGTGCCAGTTTTCAAAGGGAATGCTTCCAGTTTTTGCCCATTCAGTATGATATTGGCTGTGGGTTTGTCATAGATAGCTCTTATTATCATGTCCTTTGTAGGGACATGGATGAAATTGGAAACCATCATTCTCAGTAAACTATCGCAAGAACAAAAAACCAAACACCGCATATTCTCACTCATAGGTGGGAATTGAACAATGAGATCACATGGACACAGGAAGGGGAATATCACACTCTGGGGACTGTGGTGGGGAGGTGGGAGGGGGGAGGGATAGCATTGGGAGATATACCTAATGCTAGATGACGAGTTAGTGGGTGCAGCCCACCAGCATGGCACATGTATACATATGTAACTAACCTGCACAATGTGCACATGTACCCTAAAACTTAAAGTATAATTAAAAAAATAAATAAATAAATAAATAAATAAATAAAAAATGTTGGCTGGGCGCGGTGGCTCGTGCCTGTAGTCCCAGCACTTTGGGAGGTCAAGGCGGGCAGATCACCTGATCTCAGGAGTTTGAGACTAGCCTGGCCACATGGTGAAACCCTGTCTCTACTAAAAATACAAAAATTAGCCGGACATGGTTGTACGCACCTGTAATCCCAGCTTACTCGGGAGGCCAAGGCAGGATAATCACTTGAACACAGGAGCTGGAGGTTGCAGTGAGCCTAGATGGCTCCAAAACAACAACAACAAAAAAGGCTGTCAACAGACAGAAGAAAATCCCGACAAAATTTACCTCCATGACTCAAAGGCCATTAAAAAAACAAAATCAAAGAACCCAAAAATACAAATGCAAGATATGAGATCTGTCTTAGTGATGATAGAGTGAAATGACAGAAGAAAGTAAAGTATGAGAAGTCAGGGCTAAGAAAAGATGGAAAGAAAATATAAAAACATTAAAGTAATAAAGACCATATTATAAGCACTACACAAAAACAGTATAATAGTCTTATAAAAACATAGTAAAGATAAGCTCACAAAAAGCAGTGTTATATGAAACAAAAATTAGTTATGTAAATTTAGGGAAAATTACACTAATAAAAAATAGACTAGGGAGAACATTTATACATATGATCACTGTTCCTGAAGAAAAGAACAAAACATGAGAAAGAAAATTGAGATATATTTCAAGAAAACTTTCAAAAAGAAAATACTTGGATCAACAGATTGAAATGGTCCATTCTGTCAGAGAAAATGAATATCTTATAAGACAACCAACAAAAACACATCTTAATAACGCTATTATATTTCAAAAATAAGGAAACCTCTGAGTGTTCAAGCAAAAATATCACTTAAAATAATAAAACATACCAAGCTGATCTCAGGTTTGTCCATGGCAATTTTGAAGAATGGAATATAATGACACTATGCTTGAAAAATCTTACAGGAAGAATGTGAGTAATTCAAATGTAGAGACAAGAGGAAAACATTTTGAACTTTCAAAAACCCAAAGAATATAAATTATAATGAGCTCTTTTTGGAAAAACTACTAGAGGAAAAACAACCTAAGTTAAGTAGATAAATGAATTTTAAAACTACTACAAAATTTCTAGCAATCATCATGCAATTCAGGTGCCACAAGCCTAAAACTAAACAAATTGTCGGAACTATAAATATAAAATATAAATTATCAACTATTACAATGTATAAATAATATTAAAAGTATAAATATATTTATAGTAGATGCTAATATATTATGATTATGATTCTTCCAGTTTTATACATATATATAAAACCAGTTATATATATAAAATATATATTTTTTTATTATTCCAGTTATTTATATTATTCCAGTTTTTATATTTATATAACTATATTTATAAATATAGTTACATTTATATAACTATATTTATATTTATATTCAAGTTATTTATATATATTTTATTGTTCCAGTTATTTATATTCCAGTTATATATATATTCCAGTTATTTATATCCAGTTATTTATATTCCAGTTATTTTTATTTATGTATATTTTATATATATAAAAATATAAAATATATATAAAATATATATATATAAATATAAAAGAAAATTAGAGAAATAAGGATTGGAGAAAATGCTTGATAGATACTGTCTTTAAAAATATGAGAATTCAGTGTATTATAGAAAGTTATAATAATAAAGATAAATGAGAGAATTTAGAACATAAACCTAAACAATTATCAAAAAGAAAAATATCACAGATCATTTGATTAAAATATGTTTTAAGGAATCAATTAACACAACTATGAATACCACAATATTTGGTAGTAAAATTAAGACTACGGTAAGCAATTAATATAAATGGGATAAGCTTACCTATTGACAAGAAAAAAGCTAAAACTAAATCACAAAGGAAATGTAACCATATACCATACACAACAGGGATACATTTTAAAAAGTCATTCAGAAAAGGTAATTTAAAATGAGCAAAGTCATTTATGAAAATGTAAAGAAAGACATTGGTCATATTCTAATAAAAGACAATGTCAAATTCAGGAAACAAGGCAAAAAGGACACTATAATGATAGAGGCTTCAATCCACAATGATTACCTAAAGAGCTATACACAAAATAATACACATCAAAATTCATAAACAAAAGCTGGAAGACATAAATGGAGAAACAAGACTGGATAAAGGAAATGTGGCACATATACACCATGGAATACTATGCAGCCATTAAAAAAGGATGAGTTCATGTCTTTTGCAGAGACACAGATTAAGGTGGAAACCATCATTCTCAGCCAACTAACACAAGAACAGAAAACCAAACACCGCATGTTCTCACTCATAAGTGGGAGTTGAACAATGAGAACACATGGACACAAGGAGAGGAATATCACACACCAGAGCCTGTCGGGGGGTGGGGGGCTAGGGGAGGGATAGCATTAGGAGAAATATCTAATGTAGATGATGGGTTGATGGGTGCAGCAAACCTGCAGCAAACCACTATGGCACAATGTAACAAACCTGCACATTCTGCACATGTATCCCAGAACTTAAAGTATAATTTAAAAAAAAAAAAAAGGAGAAACAGAAATATACTCATACGAAGAGATTTTAAAATTTTTTCTCTGCCAAAGCAAATAAAATAAGGATAGTGAAGACCTAAAATGTAATAAATAAGATATGTTTCATTGATTTATATAGGAATCTATTATATGAAAAAATAGCAGGTATCTTTTTTAAGCGTCCATATAACATTCACAAAATTATTAATCAACTAGACCACACAGGAAACCTGAATGAATTAGCAATAGTAGGAAACTATTTCAACCTGGTAAAGGTTATTATGGACATAAAAAAAATCCATAACTAGGTGGGATGTGGTGGCTCATGCCTATAATCCCGGCACTTGTGGAGGCCGAGGCGGGCGGATCACGAGGTCAGGAGGTCGAAACCATCCTGGCTAACATGGTGAAACCCCGTCTCAACTAAAAATACAAAAAATTAGGCGAGTGCCTGTAGCTCCAGCTACTCGGGAGGCTGAGGCAGGAGAATGGCATGAACCCGGGGGGGCAGAGCTTGCAGTGAGCCGAGATAGTGCCACTGCACTCCAACCTGGGCGACAGAGTGAGACTCTGTCTCAAAAAAAAAAAAAAAAAAAATCCATAACTAATATCATACATGTGATAGCGAAAAACGGAAAGCTTTTCCTTTAACATCAGGAACGAGACAAAAATGTCCATGCTGGCCATTTACATTTAACATTGAAATGGAGATCTCGCCAAGGGCAATTATGCAAGAAAAAGAGCTAAAAAACATTCAAGTTAGAAAAGAAACGTTAAAATCTCCATTTTCAGATGATAACTATTTTATATATTAAAAAATCCTAAGAAATTCACCTAAACTGTTAGAACTAACAAACAAGTAAAGCAAGGTGTTAAGGTATGAGATCAACATGTAAAAATTAATTCCATTTCCAATAAACCAGCAATAAACAATCCAAATGAAATTAAGAAAGCAATTTCACTTACACTAGTATGAAAAAGTAAAATTCTTAGATATAAACTTAACAAGAAGTACAAAACTTGTACTACAAAAAAAATTAACTAAATTAAAGACTTAAATGGAAAGATGTTTCATGTTTACAGATTGAAAGACTTTATGTTGCATTGATATGGCACTATTCCCCCAGACTCCCCTGTAGGTTCAGCACAATCTCTGTCAAATCCTTAGTAGGCTGTTTTGAAGAAGTTGACAAGCTGATCCCAATATTCATATGGAAATTCAAGGGACTCAGAAGAGTCAAAACAGTATTGTAAAAGAAGAACAAAGTTTGAAGACTGACACAACCTGATTTCAAAATTTACTACAAAGCTATAGCTAATCAATACTTTATCATACTGTATTATTGCTGTAGTTAATCAATAGTATGGTAGTGGCACAAGGATAGACAAGTCATTGGAATAGAATGAGAATTCACAAATAAACTAATACAACTATATCAACTGAATGAAGTTGGACCTCCTCATTACACTATACACAAAAATTAACTCAAAATGCATCATAGACCTAAATATGAGTCAAAGTTATAAAACTCTTAGCAGAAAGTGTTGAGTAAATTTTTGTGACCTTGGGTTAGGCAAAGCCTTCTTAAATTTAACACCAAAAGCACAGATGATCCTCTACCCTCCAAAAAATGGTAAATTAGACTTCTTCAACATTGAAAACTTTTGGGCTTCAAAGGACACCATAAAGAAAATGAAAATCAACCCATAGAATATAAGAAAATATTTGCAAATAATAAGTCTGATAAAGAAATTGTTTCTAGAATATATGTATACACTTTCAAGAGACAAATCATCCAAATAAAAAACGGGCAAAGGATTTGAACAGACATTTTTCCAAAGAGATATGCAAATGACAAGTAAAGCTGTTTAACATCATTAGCTATCAAAGGGAAATGCAAATCAAACCACAATGAGGTATCACTTCACACCACTAAGGTGGCTATAATAAGACACAAAGACAGTAATAACTATTGGCAAGCATGTGAAGAAACTGGAACACTCACACATTGCTTGTGAGAATTTAAAATGGCACACCCACACTGGAAAACAGTTTGGTAGCTCCTCAAGATGTTAAACACAGAATTACCATATAACCTAGTAATTCCACTCCTAGGTATCTACCAAAAAGAAATGAAAACATATATTCACACAAAGACTTGTACACAAATGTTCATAGCAGCATTATTCATAATAGCCACCAACAGAAAACAATGCAAATGCCCCCCAACTGAAGAAAAGATAAATAATATGTGGCATATGAATACAGTAGAATATTATTCAGCAATAAAAAGGAATGATGTACTTATGAAAAGGAAAGATGTACTTATACATCGTACGATATGGAAGAATCCTGAAAACTTGATGCTAACTGATAGAAGCCAGTCACAAAGACCACACACATACTGAATAATTCCAAAATATCCAGAACAGGCAAATTTATAAGGCAGAACATAGATTGGTGGTTACCCAGACGGGAGTGGAGAAGGTTGGGAGGAAATTGTAAGTGACGGTTTAAGTATGAGGTTTCCTTTTGCAATAATAAAAATGTTGTAATTGGTCGGCATGGTGGCTCACGCCTGTAATCCCAGCACTTTGGGAGGGCGAGGCGGGCGGATCACGAGGTCAGGAGATCAAGACCATTCTGGCTAACACGGTGAAACCCCGTCTCTACTAAAAATACAAAAAAAAAAAAAAAAAAAAAAATTAGCAGGGCGTTGTGGTAGGGGCCTGTAGTCCCAGCTGCTCGGGAGGCTGAGGCAGGAGAATGGTGTGAACTGGAAGGCGGAGCTTGCAGTGAGCCCAGACGGCACCACTGCACTCCAGCCTGGGTCTCAAAAAAAAAAAAAAGTTGTAATTATAGTGATGATCGCACAACTCTCTGAGTATATGAAAAACCCTTCCACTAGTTACTTTACATGGATAGATTATATGATGTGCTAATTAGATCTTAATAAAACCATTTAAAAAGATAAACTATTAATTTCATTTTTAGAAGCAAGATAGAGAAAAGCACAAGTATATAAATGGAAAATTACAATGAGGAATTCACCACCTAAAGAAAAATGTAAAAGATCATAATAGGCTATTTTGTTTGACTATACACATTAACTTGAAAACCTGACTCAAATAGATAATTTTCTAGGAAAATGAATTACAAAAAAGCCAAGAAATAGTGGAAAATCAAAACAAATGAATGATCACATGAAACACAGGCAAATCTGTCAAAGAATTACTTGACCCCCTTTCACTACAGAGGATCAAATTAAGTCTTTCAGTTGAATTCCACCAAACTTTTTAAAAATATATTTCAAATACTCTGTAAGCATTTCTGGAGTTAAGAAAATATAAGCAATTTTAAATTCTCTTTTATGGAAAGAGAAAATATTAATCAGAAAAACGTTAATACTAAAATCTAACAATGATAGCACTAACTTCTCTTATGAGTCTTTATTTTAAAAAATCTAAATAATATATAAGCAAACAAAAACCAGAAGCCCATGAATACAAAATACACCACAACAAAATTGGGTTTATACCAAAGATAGTCCAATATTATGAAATATAACTCATTATATTAAAAGATTAAAGGAAAAATATCACATGGTTATCTTCTTTGAAGCATGAAAAGTCATTTAACAAAATCCGACATCTATCTATAATTATTAATACTTTAAATAAAAATCAGTTGGTACTTATCTGACATGATGAGTGAAAGAAAGAGAGAGAGAGAGACCATCAGACTTACAAATAAAACACTGAAACCTTTCCTATCCAAGACAGAAATGACAAGGATTAGAGAATGCTGTCAGTTGGATGAATATAAAATTAATATCATGTCAGATTCACACAACAAGTTAGTAAATATAACACAAGAGAAGATACTACTTACAATGGCAAAAATAACTACAAAAATAGAATATACAGAAAGAAAAAACTAGATATATCTAACATTTAGGCAACTTTAAAACTTTCTGTGGAACCCAGGAGAAGGCTTGAATAAAGGGAAGGAATACTTTAACTCAGACAGGAAGATAGAATATTGGAAATGTATCAGTTCTCTCTAAACTAATTTATAAATTTTACCTGCTCCTAAAAAAAAAATCAATAGAAGTTTTAGGTTTAGAATTAGACAAAAAAAAAATTTGCAAAATCAGCATGCAAGAATATATTAAAAAATTTAAAGGACTATTAATAAAGCAGTACTACCCCTAACAGATACTAGAACGCATTTAAAACTAGCATTATTAAATCATATATATATAAAAATTATGTGTGTGTGTGTGTATGTGTGTGCGAATTTAGTACATGTTGAGATAGTCGTGGGGAAAGGAAGGATTGCTCAAAAAATGAGTAATCTTCTAGAAAATGTAAAGATTCTCACCACATATTACATAGAGTCCTACAAAAAATGCATTACAGATAAGCAAATGGCTTAAATGAAAAACTGAAACCTCAAAATTCTACAAAGAAAACATGGAATTACTTTGTAATATTAGAGTGAGTAGGAATATTATCAGTATGACATGAAACTAAGAAATCATAAAAGATTATTATATCTTTCAAATTTTCATGCATAATAAATAAAAAACAAATACACTTAAAGGACAAACAAAAATCTGGAAGAAATAACATAAAAATGCCATTTGTGTGTGTGTATATAAGAAAGAGCTACTGCAAACCAACAAGAGAATAATCTACTACGTCACAGAAAAGTTGGCAAAGAACATAAACACGCTCATAGAAGAGGAAATACAAAACTTCTAGACATAGGAAAAGAAGCTCACACAATAAAAGAAGTAAAAGTTAAAGCTAAAATGAGATAATATTCAGTTGGCAAAGATCAAAAATATTCTAAAATTACACATTTTTCAAGGGAGGGAAAATAGAAAACCTGTCCTATTTTGTTGGTAGAAGATTAAATGAGCACAAAGACCATTTGAGAACATCTATTAAAAAGACTCATAGGAACAGCTCCGGTCTGCAGCTCTCAGCGAGATCGATGCAGAAGATGGGTGATTTCTGCATTTCCAACTTAGGTACCTGGTTCATCTCACTGGGACTGGTTGGACAGTGGGTGCAGCCCATGGAGGGTGAGCCAAAGCAGGGTGAGGTGTCACCTCACCCGGGAAGTGCAAAGGGTCAGGGGATTTCCCTTTTCTAGCCAAGGGAAGCTGTGAGAGACTGTACCAGGAGGAATGGTACACTCCTGCCTAGATACTCTGCTTTTCCCACTATCTTTGCAACTGGCAGACCAGGAAATTCCCTCTGGTGCCTGGCTCGGCAGGTCCCACACCCATGGAGCCCAGCAAGTTAATATCCATTGGCTTGAAATTCTCACTACTAGTGCATCAGTTTGAGATTGACCCGGAACACTGGAGCTTAGTGGGGGGAGGGGTGCCAGCCATTGCTGAGGCTTGAGTAAGTGGTTTTATGCTCACAGTGTAAACAAAGCCACGGGAAGTACTAACTGGGCGGAGCCCACCTCAGCTCAGCAAACCCAACTGCCCCTCTAGATTACACCTCTGTGGGCAGGGCATCTCTGAACAAAAGACACCAGCCCCAGTCAGGGACTTATAGATAAAACCTCCATCTCCCTGGGACAGAGCACCTGGGGGAGGGGGCAGCTGTGGGCACAGCTTCAGCACACTTAAATGTCCCTGACAGCTCTGAAGAGAGCAGTGGTTCTCCCAGCAAAGCGTTTGAACTCTGATAATGGACAGTCTGCCTCCTCAGGTGGGTACCTGACCCCTGTGTAGCCTGACTGGGAGACAGCTTCCAGTAGGGGCCGGCAGACACCTCACAGAGGAGAGCTCTGGCTGGCATCTGGTGGGTGCCCCTCTGGAAGAAGCTTCCAGATGAAGGATCAGGCAGCAATATTTGCTGTTCTGCAGCCTCTGCTGGTGATACCCAGGCAAACAGGGTCTGGAGTGGACCTCCAACAAACTCCAACAACCTGCAGCTGAGAGGCCTGACTGTTAGAAGGAAAACTGAAAAACAGAAAGGAACAGCATCAACATCAGCCAAAAGGATGTCCATACCAAAACCCCATCTCTAGATCACCAAAATCAAAGACCAAAGGTAGATAAAACCACAAATATAGGAAGAAACCAGCACAGAAAGGCTGAAAATTCCAAAAACCAGAATGTCTCTTCTCCTCCAAAGGATCACAACTCCTCGCCAGCAAGGGAAAGCTAAGAACCTTGAAAAACAGTTAGATGAATTGCTAACTAGAATAAACAGTGTAGACAAGAACATAAATGACCTGATGGAGCTGAAAAACACAGCATGAGAACTTTGTGAAGCATACACAAGCTTCAATAGCCGAATCAATCATGCGGAAGAAAGGATATCAGTGACTGAAGATCAACTTAATGAAATAAAACAGGAAGACAAGATTAGAGAAAAAAGAGTGAAAAGAAACAAACAAAGCCTCCAAGAAATATGGGACTACGTGAAAAGACCAAATCTACGTCTGATTGGTGTACCTGAAAGTGATGGGGAGAATGGAACCAAGTTGGAAAACACTCTGCAGGATATTATCCAGGAGAACTTCCCCAACTTAGCAAGGCAGGCCAATTTTCAAATACAGGAAATACAGAGAACACCACAAAGATATTCTTCGAAAAGAGCAGCCCCAAGACACATAATTGTCAGATTCACCAAGGTAGAAATGAAGGAAAAAATGTTAAGGGCAGCCAAAGAGAAAGCTCGGGTTACCCACAAAGGGAAGCCCACCAGACTAACAGCAGATCTCTCAGCAGAAACCCTATAAGCCAGAAGAGAGTGGGGGCCAATATTCAACATTATTAAAGAAAACAATTTTCAGCCCAGAATTTCATATCCAGCCAAACTATCATAAGTGAAGGAGAAATAAAAGCCTTTACAGACAAGCAAATGCTGAGAGATTTTGTCACCACCAAGCCTGCCTTACCAGAGCTCCTGAAGGAAGCACTAAACATGGAAAGGAATAACTGTTACCAGCCATGGCAAAAACATGCCAAATTGCAGAGACCATCAACGCTATGAAGAAACTGAATCGACTAATGGGCAAAATAACCAGCTAGCATCATAATGACAGGATCAAATTTGCACATAACAATATTAACCTTAAATCTAAATGGGCTAAATGCCCCAATTAAAAGACACAGACTGGCAAATTAGATAAAGAGTCAAGCCCCATTGGTGTGCTGTATTCAGGAGACCAATCACACGTGCAAAGAGTCTCTGATGAAAAATACTTTAAACCAACAAAGATCAAAAGAGACAAAGAAGGGCATTACATAATGGTAAAGGGATCAATGCAAAAAGAAAAGCTAACTATCTTAAATATATATGCACCCAATACAGGAGCATCTAGATTCATAAAGCAAGTTCTTAGAGGCCTACAAAGAGACTTAGACTTCCACACAAAAATAGTGGGAAATTTTAACACCCCACTTTCAATATTAGATCAACAAGACAGAAAATTACCAAAGATATCCAGGATTTGAACTCAGCTCTGGACCAAGCAGACCTAATAGACATCTACAGAACTCTCCACGAGAAATCAACAGAATATACGTTCTTCTCAGCACCACATCGCACTTATTCTAAAATTGGCCACATAATTGGAAGTAAAACACTCCTCAGCAAATGTTAAAGAACAGAAATCACAACAAACTGTCTCTCAACCACAGTGCAATCAAATTAGAACTCAGGATTAAGAAACTCACTCAAAATCGCACAACTGCATGGAAACTGAACAACCTGCTCCTGAATGACTACTAGGTAAATAACAAAATGAAGGCAGAAATAAAGATGTTCTTTGAAACCAATGAGAACAAAGACAAAACATACCAGAATCTCTCTGGGACACATTTAAAGCAGTGTGTAAATGGAAATTTATAGCACTAAATGCCCACAAGAGAAAGCAGAAAAGATCTAAAATTGACACAGTAACATCACAATTAAAAGAACTAGAGAAGCAAGAGCAAACAAATTCAAAAGCTAGAAGACAAGAAATAACTAAGATCAGAGCAGAACTGAAGGAGCTAGAGACACAAAAAACCCTTCAAAAAATCAATGAATCCAGGAGCTGGTTTTTTGAAAAGATCAACAAAGTTGATAGACTGCTAGCCAGACTAATAAAGAAGAAAAGAGAGAAGAATCAAATAGAATCAATAAAAAATGATAAAGGGGATACCACCACCGATTCCACAGAAATAGAAACTATCATCAGAGAATACTATAAACACCTCTACACAAATAAACTAGAAAATCTAGAAGAAATGGATAAATTCCTGGACACTACACCCTCCCAAGACTAAACCAGGAAGAAGTCGAATCTCTGAATAGACCAATAACGGGTTCTGAAATTGAGGCAGTAATTAATAGCGTACCCACCAAAAAAAGTCCAGGACCTGACTGATTCACAGCCGAATTCTACCAGAAGTACAAAGAGGAGCTGGAACCATTCCTTCTGAAACTATAGCAATAAAAAAAAGTCCAGGACCTCACAGATTCACAGCCAAATTCTCCCAGAGGTACAAAGAGGAGCTTCCTCCCATTGCTTCTGAAACTATTCCAATCAATAGAAAAAGAGGGGATACTCCCTAACTCATTTTATGAGGCCAGCATCATCCTGATACCAAAATCTGGCAGAGACACAACAAAAAAAGAAAATTTTAGGCCAATATCCCTGATGAACATCGTTGCGAAAATCCTCAATAAAATGCTGGCAAACTGAATCCAGCTGCACATCAAAAAGCTTACCCACCATGATCAAGTCCGCTTCATCCCTAGGATGCAAGGCTGGTTCAACATATGCAAATCAATAAACATAATCTATCACATAAACGGAACCAATGACAAAAACCACATGATTATCTCAATAGATGCAGAAAAGGCCTTCAAAAAAAATCAACAGCCCTTCATGCTAAAAACTCTCAATAAACTAGGTATTGATGGAATGTATCTCAAAATAATAAGAGCAATTTATGACAGACCCACAGCCAATATCATACTGAATGGGCAAAAACTGGACGTATTCCCTTTGAAAACTGGCACAAGACAAGGATGCCCTCTCTCACCACTCCTATTTAACAAAGTATTGGAAGTTCTGGCCAGGGCAATCAGGCAAGAGAAAGAAATAAAGCGTATTCAATTAGGAAAAGGGGAAGTCAAATTGTCTCTGTTTGCAGATGACATGATTGTATATTTAGAAAACCCCATCATCTCAGCCCCAAATCTCCTTAAGCTGAAAAGCAACTTCAGCAAAGTCTCAGGGTATAAAATCAATGTGCAAAAATCACAAGCATTCCTATACACCAATAACAGAGAGCCAAATCATGAGTGAAATCCCATTCACAACTGCTATGAAGAGAACAAAATACCTAGGAATCCACATTGCAAGTGATATGAAGGATCTCTTCAAGGAGAACTACAAACCACTGCTCAAGGAAATAAAAGAGGACACAAACAAATGGAAGAACAGTCCATGCTCATGGATAAGAAGAATCAATATTGTGAAAATGGCCATACTGCCCAAGGTAATTTATAGATTCAGTGCTATCCCCATCAAGCTACCACTGACTTTCTTCACAGAATTGGAAAAAACTACTTTAAATTTCATATGGAACCAAAAAGAGCCAAGCACAGCCAAGACAATCCTAAGCAAAAAGAACAAAGCTGGAGGCATCATGCTACCTGACTTCAAACTATACAGCAAGTCTACAGTAACCAAAACAGCATGGTACTGGTACCAAAACAGAGATATAGACCAATGGAACAGAACACAGGCCTCAGAAATAACACCACACATCCACAATCATCTGATCTTTGACAAACGTGACAAAAACAAGCAATGGAGAAAGGATTCCCTATTTAATAAATGGTGCTGGGAAAACTGGCTAGCCATATGCAGAAAGCTAAAACTGGATCCCTTCCTTACACCTTATACAAAAATTTACTCAAGAAGGATTAAAGACTTAAATGTAAGACCTAAAACCATAAAAACCCTAGAAGAAAACATAGGCAATACCATTCAGGACATAGGCATGGGCAAAGAGTTCATGAGTAAAACACCAAAAGCAATGGCAACAAAAGCCAAAATTGACAAATGGGATCTAATTAAACTAAAGAACTTATGCACAGCAAAAGAAACTATCAGCAGAGTGAACAGGCAACCTACAGAATGGGAGAAAATTTTTGCAATCTATCCATCTGACAAAGGGCCAAATCCAGAATCTACAAAGAAGGTAAACAAATTTGCAAGAAAAAAAACCCCATAAAAAATGGGCAAAGGATATGAACAGACACTTCTCAAAAGAAGACATTTATGCAGCCAACAAACATATGAAAAAATGCTCATCATCACTGCTCATTAGAGAAATGCAAATCAAAACCACAATGAGGTATCATCTCATGTCAGTTAGAATGGCGATCATTAAAAAGTCAGGAAACAACAGATGCTGGAGAGGATGTGGAGAAATAGGAATGCCTTTACACAGCTGGTGGGAGTGTAAATTAGTTCAACCACTGGGGAAGACAGTGTGGTGATTCCTCAAGGATCTAGAACCAGAAACACCATTTGACCCAGCAATCCCATTGCTGGGTGTATACCCAAAGGATTATGAGTCATTCTGCTATAAAGATACATGCACACGTATGTTTATTGCTGCACTGTTCACAATAGCAAAGTCTTGGAACCAACCAAAATGCCCATCAATGATAGACTGGATAAAGAAAATGTGGCACATATACATCATGTAATACTATGCAGCCATAAAAAAGGATGAGTTCATGTCCTTTGCAGGGACATGGATGAAACTGGAAACCATCATTCTCAGCAAACTAACACAAGAAGAACAAACCAAACGCTGCATGTTCTTACTCATAAGTGAGAGTTGAACAATGAAATCACATGGACACAGGTAGGGGAACTTCACACACTGGGGCCTGTCAGGGAGCTGGGGAGTCGGTGAGGGATAGCATTAAGAGAAATACCTAATGTAAATGATAAGTTGATCGGTGACGCAAACCAACATGGCACATGTATACCTATGTAACAAACCTGCATGCTGTGCACATGTACCCCAGAACTTAAAGTATAATAATAAAAAAAGACTCAGTTAAAAAGACATAATAGTAAGGAATAAATTTCTAAACTGAAATCTGTTAAACATTGCTGAGAGAAACTAAAGAAAATCTATGTAAATAAATGAAGAGATATATAATGATAATAGTTTGGAAAATACAATATTGTTAAGAAATTAATCCTCTAAACTGATGTACAAGTTTTATGCAACAAATACCTTTTTTAATTTTCAAAATTTATATAGAAAAGCAAAGAAACTAGTCTAGCTAAAACATTCTTAAAGATAAAAAGTAAAGTTGGGTATTCAAACTACCTGATTTCAGAACTTATTATAAAGCTATAGCAATTAACACAGTGTCATACTGGCAAAAGTCAAAGAAAAATGGACAGAGTAGAATATCCAGACAAAGACCCACTCATAAATGGACAATTGATTTCCACAAAGATGCTAAAGCAATTAAATGAGAAAAGAAAGGATTTTCTGCAATTGTTGCTGGAACAACTTTAAAAAAAAATGGGGATAAAAAGAACTTCAAAATTTACTTCACACCATACACAAAATTAATTTAAGATGGATTATAAACTCAAATATAAAGCCAAAGTGTTACACAGCTAGAAGAAAACACAAAATAATATGGTTACCAACTTGGAGTATAAAAATATTTCTTAGAGAACAAAGTAACCCCAAAGTTAGCAGAAGAAAATAACTAAAATCAGAGCAGAACTAAATGAAATTAAGACTCAGAAATCTATACGAAGGATCAACAAAACAAAAAGGTAGTTTTTTCTTTGAAAAGATAAAAAAAATCAATACACTGCTAGCTAAATTGACAAAGAAAAAAGAGAGAAGATCCAAATAAGCACAATCAGAAATGACAAAGGTGACATGACAACCAAATCCACAGAAATACAAAAGATCCTTAGTGACTACTATGAATACCTCTATGCATACAAACTAGAAAATCTAGAGGAAATGGACAAATTCCTGGAAAGATACAAGCTCCCAAATCTGAATTAGGACCAATAATGAATCTGAAACAGACCAATAATGAGTTTTGAAATTCAATCAGTAATTAAAAAAAAAAAACACTAATTTTAAAAAGGCACTGGACCAGATGGATTCACAGCTGAATTCTACCAGATGTATAAAGAATAGCTGGTACCAATACTCCTGAAACTATTCTAAAAAATCAAGAAGAAGCATCTCCTCTCTAACTCATTCTACAAAGCCAGGATCATCCTGATACCAAAATGTGGCAAAGACACAACAAATAAGAAAACCACAGGCAGATATCCCTGATGAAGATAGATGCAAAAATCTTCAACAAATTGCTAGCAAACCAAATCCAGCAGCACATCTTAAAGTTAATTCACTATAATCAAGTGGGCTTTATTTCTGGAATGTAAGATTTGTTCAACATATGCAAATCTATAAGTATAATTTGTCACACAAACAGAATTAAAAACCATATGATCATCTCAGTAGACATACAAAAAGCTGTCAATAAAATCCAACATCCTTTGATAATAAAAACCCTCAACAAACTAGACATCAAAGGAACATACCTCAAAATATTAAGAGCCATCTATGAGAAATTCACAGCTAACATCATACTGAATGGACAGAAATTTGAAGCATTCTCCTTAAGAACTGGAATAAGATAAGGATACCCACTCTTAACACTCCTATTCAAAACAGTACTGGAAGTCACAGCCAGATCAGGCAACAGAAAGAAATAAATAGCATCCAATAGGAAAAGAAAAGGCCCAGCTATTGTTCTTTACTCACAATATTATTCTATATCTAGAAAACCCTAAAGACTCTGCCAGAAGGCTCCCAGACCTGATAAAAACCTTTAGTAAAGTTTCAGAATGCATAATCATTGTTCGAAAAAAAAGCAGCGTTGCTAAACACCAATAACAGTCAAGTTGAGAGCCAAATCAAAAACACAATCCCATTTACAATAACGACAAAAAATAAAATAAATTACCTAAGAATACACCTAACCACAGAGGTAACAGATCTCTACAAAGAATATACCTAACCATGGAGGTGGGAAAGATCTCTACAAATATGATTACAAGCAAGGCACAGTGGCTTATGCCTGTAATCCCAGCACTTTGGGAGGCCAAGGCAGGCAGACCACGAAATCAGGAGATGGAGACCATCCTGGCCAACATGATGAAACCCCATCTCTAGTAAAAATACAAAAATTAGCTGGGTGTAGTGGTGTGTGCCTATAATCCCAGCTACTCAGGAGGCTGAAGCAGGAGAATCACTTGAATGCAGGAGTCGAAGGTTGCAGTGAGCCGAGATCATGCAACTGCACTCCAGGCTGGTGACAGAGAGAGATGACCCCTCAAATAATAATAATAATAATAATAACAACAACAACAACAACAACAACAGCAAAACATTGCTGAAGGAAATCATAGATGACACATAAAAATTGAGAAACATTCCATGCTTATTGATTTGAAAAATCAATATTGTTAAAATGACCATATGACCAAAGCAAACTACTGATTAAATGCTATGCCTATCAAACTACCATCATTTTTTGCAGAATTAGAAAAACAAATCTACTGTAAAATTTGTACAGAGAGATTCTGTTTGGAAAAACGTAAGGGAAAAGAGTCTCTTTCTGGTAATCCAGAGAATTCTTCAGAATCTTATCCAAGACCACTAAGACAGCACCTCGCAAATCTGCAAGAGCTATAGTGTTATTGGGCTTGGAGTGCCCCCTAATTCAGATACAGCTGCAGTAACTGAAAACTTAGATTACAACACCCAAATCCCTTTGAATACTTGGAAAGCCTTCACAAGAAGAATGGGTACGCACAAGCTCAGACTGTGAAGACTACAATAAATACCTGACTCTTTGATGTCCAGACATTGACAAACATCCACAAGCATCAAGATGATCAACAAAAACATGACCTCACCATACAAACTAAATAAGGCACCAGAGACCAATCCTAGAGAGACAGTGCTATGTGACCTAGCAGGCAGATAATTCAAAATAGCTGTTTTGAGAAAACTCAGTGCAATTCAAAATAACACAAAGGAGAAATTCAAAATCCAATAAGATAAAATTAACAAGGAGACTGAAATAATTAAAAGGAATCAGGTAGGAATTCTGGAGTTGAAAAATCCAAGTGACATATTGAAGAATGCATCAGAGTCTCTTAATAGCAGAATTGATCATGCAGAAGAAAGAATCAGTGAGCTTCAAGACAGGCTATTTGAAAATACAGAGTCAGAGGAAACCAAATCAAAGAGAATAAAAACATTTAAAAAGGATGCCTAAGACATGTAGGAAATAGCCTCAAAAGGGCAAATCTAAGTTACCGGACTTAAAGAGGATGTAGAGAGAAAGATAGGGCAAAAAGTTCATTCAAAGGGATAATAACAGAAAACATCCAAAACCTAGAGAAAGATACTAACATTCAAGTACCAGAAGTTTGTAGAACATCAGGGAGATTTAATCCAAAGAAGACTACCTCAAGGCATTTAATAATCAAACTCCTAATGGTTAAGGATAAAGCAAAAATAAGGAAAATATCCAAATGCAGCAAGAAAAAAGAAATGACATACAAAGGAGCTCTAATATGTCTGGTAGCAGACTTTTTAGTAGAAGATTTATAAGCAAGAAAAGAGTGGCATGACATATTTCAAGTGCTGAAGGAAGAAAACTTTTACCCTAGAATAGTATATCCACAAAAAAAATCCTTCAAACACAAGGAAAAGTAAAGACTTTATCAGACAAACAAAAGATGAGGGATTTCATCAACACCAGAGCGGTCCTACAAGCAATGCTAAAGGGAGTTCCTCAGTCTTAAAGAAAAGGAATGAATGAGCAATAAGAAATCATCTGAAGGTACAAAACTAACTGGTAATAGTAAGAGCATGGAAAAACACAGAATGTTATACAGTGCAATTGCAGTGTATAAATTACTCATATATTAAGTAGAAAGACTAAAAGATAAACTAATCAAACAGAATAATGACAACTTTTTAAGACAGAGTACAATAAGATATAAATAGAAACAACAAAAACCTATAAAGCAGGGAGACAAAGGTAAAGTATGGAGTTTTTACTAGTTTTCTCATTGCTTATTTGTTTATGCAATCAGCATTAAGTTGTCAGCAGTTTAAAATAATGGATTGTAAGATTACAAGCTTCCTGGTAACCTCAAATCAAAAAACATTCAACAGATCCATAAAAAAATAAGAAATTAAAACATACCACCAGAGAAAATCACCTTCACTAAAAGGAAGACAAGAAGGAAACAAAAAAGAGAAGACCAGAAAACAAATAACAAAATGGCAAGATTAAGTTCTTACTTATCAACAATAACACTGATTGTAAATGGACTAAACTCTCCAATCAAAAGACACAGAGTGGCTACATGAATGAAAAAACAAGACTCAATGATCTGTTGCCTATAAGAAACACACTTCACCTAAAAAGACATACAAAAATTGAAAATAAAATAATGGAAAAAGATATTCCATGCCAGTGGAAACCAGAAAATAGTAGAAGTAGCTAGACTTGTATCACACAAAATAGATTTCAAGACTAAAACTATAAATAGAGACCAAGAAGGTCATTGTATAATGATAAAGAGGTCAATTCAGCAAGAGGATATAACATTCATAAATATATATGTGCCCAACAACGGAGCATCCAGATATATAAAGCAAATATTATTAGAGCTACAGAGAGATAGATCCCAATAGAATAATAACTTGAGACTTCAACACCGCACTTTCTACATCAGACAGATCATCCAGATAGAAAATCACCAGAGAAACATCAGACTTAATCTGTACTATAGACCAAATAGATCTAATAGATATTTACAGAGCATTTCATTGAATGGCTGCAGAATATACTTTCTTCCCTTCAGCACATAGATCATTCCCAAAAATAGGCCCTATATCAGGCCACAAAACAAGTCTGAAAACATTCAAAAAACTGGAATCATGTCAAGTATCTTCTTTGACCACAAAGGAATAAAACTAGAAATCAATAATAACAAGAGGAATTTTGAAAACTATACACAGAGAAATTAAACAATATTCTCCTGAATGACTAGTGGATCAATGAATAAATTAAAAAGGAAATTGAAAAAATGTTTGAAACAAATGAAAATGGAAACACAACATACCAAAACCTGTGGGATGCAGTGAAAACAATATTAAGGGGAAATTTTATAGGTATAAGCACCTACATCAAAAGGGCAGAAAAACTTCAAAAAAAAAAATCTAACAATACATCTTAAACAAATATAAAAGCAACAGTAAACCACACCCAAAATTAGAAGAAAATAAATAATAAAGATCAGAGCAGAAATAAATGAAATTGAAACAAAGGAAACAATACAAAAGATTCTTAAAAATGAAAAATTTGTCTTTTGAAAAAATTAAACAAAATTGATACCTTTAGCCAGACTAAGAAAAAAAGAAAGAATACCCAAATAAATAAAATCAGAGATGAAAAAGCAAACATTAAAATCAATACAGCAGAAATGTAAAGGCTCATTAGAGGCTACTATGAACAAGTATATGCCAATACATTAAAAAATCTAGAAGAAATGAATAACTCCTAGACACATACAACCTACCAATATTGAATGATGAAAAAATCCAAATCCTGAACAGACCTATAACAAGTAACAAGACTGAAGCCATAATAAAAAGTCTTTAAGCAAAGAAAAGCCCAGGACCCAATGGCTTCACTGCAAAATTTTACCAAACATTTAAAGCATTAATACCAATCCTACTCAAACTATTCCAAAAAATAGAGAAGGAGGGAGTACTTCTAAACTCTTTATATGAGGCCAGTATTGCTCTGATGCCAAAATCTAAGAAAGACACATAAAGAAAACTTTAGGCCTGTAACTCTGATGAACATTGATCTAAAAATTCTCAACAAAATACTAGCAAACTAATTCAACAACACATGAAAACCATCATTCATCATGACCAACTGGGATTTTTCCCAAGGATGCATGGATGGTTCAGCACAGGCAAATCAATCAATATGATACATCATATCAACAGGTTGAAGGACAAAAAAACATATGATTATTTCAATTGATGCCCAAAAGGTATTGGATAAAATTCAACACCCCTTCATAATAAAAACCTTCAAAATACTGGGGATGAAAGGAACATATCTCAACATAATAAAAGCCATACATGACAGACCCATAACTAGTGTCATATTGAATGGGAAAATAACTGAAAGTCTTTCCTCTAAGATCTGGAACATGACAAAGATGCTCGTTTTCACCACTGTTATTCAATATAGTACTGAAAGTCCTAGCTAGAGCAATCATACAAGAGAAAGATATAAAGGGCATCCAAATTGGAAAGGAAGAAGTCAAATTATTCTTATTGGCAGATGATATGATCTTATATTTGGAAAAATCTAAAGACTCCACAAGAAAACTATTAGAACTGATAAAGTAGGCCGGGTGCAGTGGCTCATGCTTGTAATCCCAGCACTTTGGGAGACTGAGGCGGGAGGACCACGAGGTCAGGAGATCGACACCATCCTGGCTAACACAGTGAAACCCCATCTCTACTAAAAGTACAAAAAATTAGCTGGGCGTGGTGGCGGGAGGCTGTAGTCCCAGCTACTTGGGAGGCTGAGACAGGAGAATGTCGTGAACCCAGGAGGTGGAGCTTGTGGTGAGCCGAGATCGTGCCACTGCACTCCAGCCTGGGCAACAGTGCAAGACTCCGTCTCAAAAAAAAAAGGAAGAAAAAGAACTGATAAACTAATTCTGTAAAGTTTCAGGATACAAAATCAACATACAAAAAATACTAGCATTTCTAGATGCCCACAATGAAAAACCAGAAATTAATCGCATTTACCGTATCTACAAATATTATAAGACACCATGGAATTAGCTTAACAAAGAAGTGAAAGATCTCTACAATAAAAACTGTAAAGCATTGGCTGGGCGCGGTGGCTCACGCCTGTAATCCCAGCACTTTAGGAGGCCGAGGCAGGTGGATCATGAGGTCAGGAGATCGAGACCATCCTGGCTAACACGGTGAAACCCCGTCTCTACTAAAAATACAAAAAATTAGCCAGGTGTGGTGGCGGGTGCCTGTAGTTCCAGCTACTCAGGAGGCTGAGGCAGGAGAATGGCGTAAACCTGGGAGGCGGAGCTTGCATTGAGCCGAGATTGCACCACTGCACTCCAGCCTGGGTGACAGAGCGAGACCCCGTCTCAAAAAAAAAAAAAAAAAGCATTGATGAAAGACATGGGAGAGGACACCAAAAATGGAAAGGTATTTCATATACATGGATTGGAAGCATCGAAATTATTAAACATGTCCATACTACCCTACTACCCAAAGCGATATACGCATTCAATGCAATCATTATAAAAATACCAATGATATTCTTCACAGAAATAAGAAAAACTCCTAAAATTTATATGGCACCATAAAAGACCCAGAATACTCAAAGCTATCTGAAGTAAAAAGAACAAAACTGAAGGAATCACATTATCTGACTTCAAATTATACTACAGAGCTATAGAAACCAACGCAGCATGGTAGTAATGCAAAAATGTACATAGACCAAGAAAACAGAATAGAGAACCCAGAAACAAATCCATACATCTACAGTGAACTCATTTTCAACAAAGGTGCCAAGAACATATATTGGAGAAAGAACAATCTCCTTAATAAATGATGCCAAGAAAACTGGATATCCATATGTAGAAGAACGATAGACTTCTGTCTCTCACTATGTACAAAAATCAAATAAAAATGGATTACAAACTTAAATCTGAGACCTCAAATTATAAAATCACTAAAAGAAAACATTGGGAAAACTCCCCAGGACATTGGAATGGGTAAAAGTTTCTTGAGTAATACCCCACAAGCATAGGCAAACAAAGCAAAAATGGAGAAAGGGACCACTTCAAGTTATAAAGCCTTCTGCATGGAAAAGGAAACAATCAACAAAGTGAAAAGACAACCCAAAGAATTGGAGAAAATACTTGCAAACTATCTAGCTGACAAGGGACTAATAACCAGAATATATAGTGTCAAAACAACCCTATGAGAAAAATCTAATAATCAGATTTAAATATGGTCAAAAGATCTGAATAGACATTTCTCAAAAGACATACAAATGGCAAACAGATATACGAAAAGGTGCTCAGCATCACTGATCACCAGAGAAATGCAAATCAATACTACAAGGAGATATCATTTCATCCCGGTTAAAATGGCTTTTGTCTAAAAGACAGGCAATAACAAATACTGGCAAGAATATGGAGAAAAGGGAACCCTCATACACTGTTGGTGAGAATGCAAATTAGTAACAGCACTATGGAGAACAGTTTGAAGATTCCTCAGAAAAACTAAAAATTGAGCTACCATATGATTCAGCAATTCCACTGTCAGGTATATAGCCAAAAGAAAGAAAATCAGTATAACAAAGAGATATCTGCACTCCCATGTTTATTGCAGCACTGTTCACAACAGCCAAGATTTGGAAGCAACTAAGTGTCAACAGACTAACGGATAAAGAAAATGTGGCACATATACATATTGGAGACTATTCAGCCATAAAAAAAGAATGAGATCCTGTCACTTGTAACAACTTGGATAGAACTGGAGTTCATTATGTTAAGTGAAATAAGCAAGGCCCAGAGAGATAAACTTCACATATTCTATTTGTGGGAGCTAAAAATTAAAACAACTAAACTTATGAAGATATGGAGTAGAATGATGGTTACCAGAGATGGGAAGGGCAGTGGGGTGGTAGGGGGAAGTGGGGATGCTTAATGGGCACAAAAAAGAGAAGAATGAATAAGATCTAGCATTTGATAGCACAATGGGTGACTATAGTCAACAATAATTTAATTGTACATTTAAAAAATAAAAGTATAATTGGATTGTTTATAACACAAAGGATAAATGTTTGAGGTGATGGTGATGGATACCCTATTTACCCTGATGTGATTGTTACGCATTGCATGCCTGTGTCAAAATAGCTCATGTACCCCATAAATATGTACACCTACCCTGTACTCACAAAAATTAAAAATTAAAACTTTTCAAAATATAAAATAATATTCATACAGAACTAAAAAAGAGTTCAAGTAGCCAGACGATTCTAAGCAAAAAGAAGAAAGCTGAAGGCATCACATTACCTGACTTCAAACTACACTACAAAGCTACAGTAACCAAAACAGCATGGTATTGGTACAAAAACAGACACATAGATGATTGAAACAGAATAGAAAATCCATAAATAAAGCCACACACCTGCAACCAACTGATCTTCAACAAAGTTAACAAAAACAAGCAATGGGGAAAGGACTCCATATTCAATAAATGGTTCTCGGATAACTGGCTACCCATATGCAGAAGAATGAAATTGGATAAATACTTATCACTATATGCAAATATAATCTCAAAATGGATTAAAGACTTAAATATATGACCTAAAACTGTAAAAAAAACTTAGGAAATATCCTTCTGGATACTGACTTTGGCATCTGACAAAGGACTAATATCTAGACTCTATAAGGAACTTAAATAAGTAAACAAAAAACAACCCCATTAAAAAGTGAGCAAAGGATGTAAACAGACACACCTTTCAAAAGAAGACATAGACATACGAGTGGCCAACAAATGAATGAAAAAATGCTCAACATCACAGAAATGCAAATGAAAACTACAATGAAATTGCATCTCATACCAGTCAGAATGACTATTATTAAAGAGTCAAAAAATAACAGATGTTAGTGAGGCTGCAGAGAAAAGGGAATGCTTATACACTGTTGATGAACATGTAAATTAGTTCAGCCACTATAGAAAGCAGTTTGGAGATTTCTCAAATAACTAAAATTAGAACTGTCGTTCAACCCAGCAATCGCATTACTGAGTATATGTCCAAAGGAAAATAAGTTGTTCTACCACAAAGACACAGGTGCTAATATGTTTATCACAGCACTATTCACAATAGCAAAAATATGGAATCAACCTAGGTGCCCATCAATAGTAGACTGTAAAAGGAAAATATGGTACATATACACCATGGAATACGATGCAGCCATAAAAAAGAACAAAATCATGTCCTTTGCCACAGCATGGATGCAGCTGGAGGCCATTATCCTAATCAAAGTAACGCAGGAACAGAAAACCAAATACCACATGTTTTCACTTATAAGTGGTAGCTAAAAATTAGGTACACGTAAAGATGGGGAAAATAGACACTGGGGACTACATGACAGGGGAAGTAGGGCAAAGGTTGAAAAACTACCTACTGGGGACTATGCTAACTACCTGGGTAAGAGTTTCAACTGTACCTCAAATCTCAGCACTGCACAATACCTGTAACAAACAACTACCCCCTGAATCTAAAATAAAAGTTGAAATTTTTAAAATAAAATTTCTAGAGAGAGCACAATAGGGGAAAGAAAAACTATTGATAAACTACACTTCACTGAAAATAAAATTATCTGCTCTTCAGAAGACTGATTTTTTTTAAAAAAAGCCACAGACTGTGAGAAAATATCTACATTTATCTGACAAAGGATCTGTATCTAAAATACATTTTAAATGCATATAAATCAGCAGCAAAAGATAAATAATCCCAATTTTTTTAAATGCAGAAGACAAACAGACACTTTATAAAAACAGAAATATAGGAATGTCCAATAAGCACATTAAAAGGTATTCAAGGTTGTTCCGGAGGAGCCAAGATGGCAGAATAGGAACAGCTCCTGTCTACAGCTCCCAGCCTGAGCGACGCAGAAGACGGGTGATTTCTGCATTTCCATCTGAGGTACCGGGTTCATCTCACTTGGGAGTGCCAGACAATGGGCGCAGGTCAGTGGGTGCGCGAACCGTGCGTGAGCCGAAGCAGGGCGAGGCATTGCCTCACTTGGGAAGCACAAGGGGTCAGGGAGTTCCCTTTCGGAGTCAAAGAAAGGGGTGACGGACGGCACCTGGAAAATCGGGTCACTCCCACCCAAACACTGCGCTTTTCCAACCGGCTTAAAAAACGGCGCACCACAAGATTATATCCCGCACCTGGCTCAGAGGGTCCTATGCCCATGGAGTCTCACTGATTGCTAGCACAGCAGTCTGAGATCAAACTGCAAGGCGGCAGCGAGGCTGGGGGAGGGGCGCCCGCCATTGCCCAGGCTTGCTTAGGTAAACAAAGCAGCCAGGAAGCTCCAACTGGGTGGAGCCCACCACAACTCAAGGAGGCCTGCCTGCCTGC
Organism: Homo sapiens; assembly: GCF_000001405.40. Lineage (NCBI taxonomy): Eukaryota > Metazoa > Chordata > Mammalia > Primates > Hominidae > Homo > Homo sapiens. The sequence goes on along the minus strand of NC_000009.12, from coordinate 106,187,105 downwards.
CTCTGTAGGCTCCACCTCTGGGGGCAGGGCACAGACAAACAAAAAGACAGCAGTAACCTCTGCAGACTTCAATGTCCCTGTCTGACAGCTTTGAAGGGAGCAGTGGTTCTCCCAGCACACAGCTGGAGATCTGAGAACCGGCAGACTGCCTCCTCAAGTGGGTCCCTGACCCCCAAGCAGCCTAACTGGGAGGCACCCCCCAGCAGGGGCACACTGACACCTCACACAGCAGTGTACTCCAACAGACCTGCAGCTGAGGGTCCTGTATGTTAGAAGGAAAACTAACAAGCAGAAAGGACATCCACGCCAAAAACCCATCTGTACATCACCATCATCAAAGACCAAAAGTAGATAAAACCACAAAGATGGGGAAAAAACAGAACAGAAAAACTGGAAACTCTAAAAAGCAGAGCGCTTCTCCTCCAAAGGAACACAGTTCCTCAACAGCAACAGAACAAAGCTGGATGGAGAATGACTTTGACGAGCTGAGAGAAGAAGGCTTCAGACGATCAAATTACTCTGAGCTACGGGAGGACATTCAACCAAAGGCAAAGAAGTTGAAAACTTTGAAAAAAATTTAGAAGAATGTATAACTAGAATAACCAATACAGAGAAGTGCTTAAAGGAGCTGATGGAGCTGAAAACCAAGGCATGAGAACTACGTAAAGAATGCAGAAGCCTCAGGAGCCGATGTGATCAACTGGAAGAAAGGGTATCAGCAATGGAAGATGAAATGAATGAAATGAAGCGAGAAGAGAAGTTTAGAGGAAAAAAGAATAAAAAGAAATGAGCAAAGCCTCCAAGAAATATGGGACTATGTGAAAAGACAAAATCTACGTCTGATTGGTGTACCTGAAAGTGATGGGGAGAATGGAACCAAGTTGGAAAACACTCTGCAGGATATTATCCAGGAGAACTTCCCCAATCTAGCAAGGCAGGCCAACGTTCAGATTCAGGAAATACAGAGAGCGCCACAAAGATACTCCTCAAGAAGAGCAACTCCAAGACACATAATTGTCAGATTCACCAAAGTTGAAATGAAGGAAAAAATGTTAAGGGCAGCCAGAGAGAAAGGTTGGGTTACCCTCAAAGGGAAGCCCATCAGACTAACAGCAGATCTCTCGGCAGAAACCCTACAAGCCAGAAGAGAGTGGGGGCCAATATTCAACATTCTTAAAGAAAAGAATTTTCAACCCAGAATTTCATATTCAGCCAAACTAAACTTCATAAGTGAAGGAGAAATAAAATCCTTTACAGACAAGCAAATGCTGAGAGATTTTGTCACCACCAGGCCTGCCCTAAAAGAGCTCCTGAAGGAAGCACTAAACATGGAAAGGAACAATCGGTACCAGCCGCTGCAAAATCATGCCAAAATGTAAACACCATCGATGCTAGGAAAAAACTGCATCAACTAACAAGCAAAATAACCAGCTAACATCATAATGACAGGAGCAAATTCACACATAACAATATTAACTTTAAACGTAAATGGACTAAATGCTCCAATTAAAAGACACAGACTGGCAAATTGGATCAAGAGTCAAGACCCATCAGTGTGCTGTATTCAGGAGACCCATCTCATGTGCAGAGACACACATAGGCTCAAAATAAAAGGATGGAGGAAGATCTACCAAGCAAATGGAAAACAAAAAAAGGCAGGGGTTGCAATCCTAGTCTCTGATAAAACAGACTTTAAACCAACAAAGATCAAAAGAGACAAAGAAGGCCATTACATAATGGTAAAGGGATCAATTCAACAAGGAGAGCTAACGATCCTAAATATATATGCACCCAATACAGGAGCACCCAGATTCATAAAGCAAGTCCTGAGTGACCTACAAAGAGACTTAGACTCCCACACATTGATAATGGGAGACTTTAACACCCCACTGTCAACATTAGACAGATCAATGAGACAGAAAGTCAACAAGGATACCCAGGAAATGAACTCAGCTCTGCACCAAGCAGACCTAATAGACATCTACAGAACTCTCCACCCCAAATCAACAGAATATACATTTTTTTCAGCACCACACCACACCTATTCCAAAATTGACCACATACTTGGAAGTAAAGCTCTCCTCAGCAAATGTAAAAGAACACAGATTATAACAAACTATCTCTCAGACCACAGTGCAATCAAACTAGAACTCAGGATTAAGAATCTCACTCAAAACCGCTCAACTACATGGAAACTGAACAACCTGCTCCTGAATGACTACTGGGTACATAACGAAATGAAGGCAGAAATAAAGATGTTCTTTGAAACCAACGAGAACAAAGACACAACATACCAGAATCTCTGGGACACATTCAAAGCAGTGTGTAGAGGGAAATTTATAGCACTAAATGCCCACAAGAGAAAGCAGGAAAGATCCAAAATTGACACCCTAACATCACAATTAAAAGAACTAGAAAAGCAAGAGCAAACACATTCAAAAGCTAGCAGAAGGCAAGAAATAACTAAAATCAGAGCAGAACTGAAGGAAATAGAGACACAAAAAACCCTTCAAAAAATTAATGAATCCAGGAGCTGGTTTTTTGAAAGGATCAACAAAATTGATAGACCACTAGCAAGACTAATAAAGAAAAAAAGAGAGAAGAATCAAATAGACGCAATAAAAAATGATAAAGGGGATATCACCACTGATCCCACAGAAATACAAACTACCATCAGAGAATACTACAAACACCTCTACGCAAATAAACTAGAAAATCTAGAAGAAATGGATAAATTCCTCGACACATACACTCTCCCAAGACTAAACCAGGAAGAAGTTGAATCTCTGAATAGACCAATAACAGGAGCTGAAATTGTGGCAATGATCAATAGTTTACCAACCAAAAAGAGTCCAGGACCAGATGGATTCACAGCTGAATTCTACCAGAGGTATAAGGAGGAGCTGGTACCATTCCTTCTGAAACTATTCCAATCAATAGAAAAAGAGGGAATCCTCCCTAACTCATTTTATGAGGCCAGCATCATCCTGATACCAAAGCCGGGCAGAGACACAACCAAAAAAGTGAATTTTAGACCAATATCCTTGATGAACATTGATGTAAAAATCCTCAATAAAATACTGGCAAAACGAATCCAGCAGCACATCAAAAAGCTTATCCACCATGATCAAGTGGGCTTCATCCCTGGGATGCAAGGCTGGTTCAATATACGCAAATCAATAAATGTAATCCAGCATATAAACAGAGCCAAAGACAAAAACCACATGATTATCTCAATAGATGCAGAAAAAGCCTTTGACAAAATTCAACCACCCTTCATGCTAAAAACTCTCAATAAATTAGGTATTGATGGGATGTATTTCAAAATAATAAGAGCTATCTATGACAAACCCACAGCCAATATCATACTGAATGGGCAAAAACTGGGAGCATTCCCTTTGAAAACTGGCACAAGACAGGGATGCCCTCTCTCACCACTCCTATTCAACATAGTGTTGGAAGTTCTGGCCAGGGCAATTAGGCAGGAGAAGGAAATAAAGGGTATTCAATTAGGAAAAGAGGAAGTCAAATTGTCCCTGTTTGCAGATGACATGATTGTATATCTAGAAAACCCCATTGTCTCAGCCCAAAATCTCCTTAAGCTGAAAAGCAACTTCAGCAAAGTTTCAGGATACAAAATCAATGTGCAAAAATCACAAGCATTCTTATACACCAACAACAGACAAACAGAGAGCCAAATCATGAGTGAAATCCCATTCACAATTGCTTCAAAGAGAATAAAATACCTAGGAATCCAACTTACAAGGGATGTGAAGGACCTCTTCAAGGAGAACTACAAACCACTGCTCAAGGAAATAAAAGAGGATATAAACAAATGGAAGAACATTCCATGCTCATGGGTAGGAAGAATCAATATCGTGAAAATGGCCATACTGCCCAAGGTGATTTATAGATTCAATGCCATCCCCATTAAGCTACCAATGACTTGCTTCACAGAATTGGAAAAAACTACTTTAAAATTCATATGGAACCAAAAAAGAGCCCACATCGCCAAGTCAATCCTAAGCCAAAAGAACAAAGCTGGAGGCATCACATTACCTGACTTCAAACTATACTACAAGGCTACAGTAACCAAAACAGCATGGTACTGGTACCAAAACAGAGATATAGATCAATGGAACAGAACAGAGCCCTCAGAAATAACGCCACATATCTACAACTATCTGATCTTTGACAAACCTGAGAAAAACAAGCAATGGGGAAAGGATTCCCTATTTAATAAATGGTGCTGGGAAAACTGGCTAGCCGTATGGAGAAAGCTGAAACTGGATCCCTTCCTTACACCTTATACAAAAATTAATTCAAGATGGATTAAAGACTTAAACCTTAGACCTAAAACCATAAAAACCCTAGAAGAAAACCTAGGCATTACCATTCAGGACATAGGCATGGGCAAGGACTTCATGTCTAAAACACCAAAAGCAATGGCAACAAAAGCCAAAATTGACAAATGGGATCTAATTAAACTAAAGAGCTTCTGCACAGCAAAAGAAACTACCATCAGAGTGAACAGGCAACCTACAACATGAGAGAAAATTTTCACAACCTACTCATCTGACAAAGGGCTAATATCCAGAATCTACAATGAACTCAAACAAATTTACAAGAAAAAAACAAACAACCCCATCAAAAAGTGGGCGAAGGACGTGAGCAGACATTTCTCAAAAGAAGACATTTATGCAGCCGAAAAAAACATGAAAAAATGCTCATCATCACTGGCCATCAGAGAAATGCAAATCAAAACCACAATGAGATACCATCTCACACCAGTTAGAATGGCGATCATTAAAAAGTCAGGAAACAACAGGTGCTGGAGAGGATGTGGAGAAATAGGAACACTTTTACACTGTTGGTGGGACTGTAAACTAGTTCAACCATTGTGGAAGTCAGTGTGGCGATTCCTCAGGGATCTAGAAGTGGAAATACCATTTGACCCAGCCATCCCATTACTGGGTATATACCCAAAGGACTATAAATCATGCTACTATAAAGACACATGCACACTTATGTTTATTGCGGCATTATTCACAATAGCAAAGACTTGGAACCAACCCAAATGTCCAACAATGATAGACTGGATTAAGAAAATGTGGCACATATACACCATGGAATACTATGCAGCCATAAAAAATGATGAGTTCATGTCCTTTGTAGGGACATGGAGGAAATTGGAAATCATCATTCTCAGTAAACTATCACAAGAACAAAAAACCAAACACCACATATACTTACTCATGGGTGGGAATTGAACAATGAGATCACATGGAAACAGGATGGGGAATATCACACTCTGGGGACTGTTGTGGGGTGGGGGGAGGGGGGCGGGATAGCATTGGGAGATATACCTAATGCTAGATGACGAGTTAGTGGGTGCAGCGCACCAGCATGGCACATGTATACATATGTAACTAACTTGCACAATGTGCACATGTACCCTAAAACTTAAAGTATAATAAAAAAATAAAAAATAAAAAAAAATAAATCCAAAAAAAAAAAGATGTTGTTCCATAGTATTTTTGCTTAAAAAAAAAAAGGTATTCAACACCATTAGTCATAAAGGAAACGCAATTTAAAACCACAATACGATAGAATTTCATACTCATTCAAATGAATAATATAAAAAAATGACAACATCAAATATTGGTGAAGAGGAGAAACGTGAACTATTATATATTGCTTGTTGGAATGTTGAAACTGTTTGGCAGTTCTCTTACAAAGTTAAACATACATATGTATCCTATGACATAGAAGTTCTATTCTACTTATTTGCCAGAGACATGAAAATATATTTTCACCAAAAAATTTCACAAGAATGTTTTTACCAGCTTATTCATAATAGCCTCAAACTGGAAACAACTCAAATGTCCATCAATAAGAGAATGAGAAAAAGTTGTAATATAGTCATAAAACGTAATACTACCCAGAAATTGTTAAAATTTACTACAGATATACCCAACAGCATGAAATGAAACTTGAAAACATTATGGTGAGCAAAAGTGTACATACTATGCGATTCTATTTAAATAAGGTTGAAGAATTGGCAAAGCTAACCTATGATGATAGAAGTAAGACAATGGTTGCCTAAAAGGGGAACTGGGATAGACTAGAAGGAGTATAAGGGAACTTCAAGGTGATGGAAATGTCCTATATTTTCAACTAAGATGGTGAGTAACATGAGTGTATTCACTCATCAAAAGTTACCAAGTTGTACCCTTTATATATATGAATTTTATCTCAACAAAAAAAAACAAAGAAGAAAAAATACACTTTTACCCTGCAATTTCACTTCTAATAATTTATCCTATAGTATTCATTGGAAAACATTTAAAACATCCTACATATTCAGCAATATCTACCATGAAATACAATTATGAAGTCTTTAAAAAGAATGAGGCACCATAATTAATAAAGAGTGAAGTTTAAAAAGCAAGGTACAGAACAGTGCATAAGATATGCTATCAAGTGAATTAAAAAAAAAAAAAAAGAAAGAAAAACACTGAAGGATACAAAAGGGATTAGTAACCCTTGTCTCCAGAACTGGATGACTGGGAAACCTAGAGTGAGACTTACTTTTCGTAAGTGAGCTACCCGTTTTGTATCTTTTGAACTGTATATCATTTGCATATGTTGTCTTTGTCTTGTAAGCAATGAAATAATTATTTAACTATGTATAAAAATGACTTGTTGAGTGACAAATGCACTTACATAGTTTTAAAAAAACAATATCGAATGAAATAAGTGCTAAATGAAAGGTTAGAAGTAAATACTAAGGATGGTCAGAGATAAAGGGGTAAGTTTCTTCAGAAAGGATTTTTATGGAATTTTGAATCAAGAGTCATATTTTGACAGGAATAAAACAGAGTGTATCAGAAGCAATGTTCAGTTAGAGGAATTGACATGGCAGATACAAGGCCATGGGAAACCTGGGGCATGTTTGGAAAACAGAGGACAGTGGAAACTATTTGAACAAGTAAACAGTAGACCTTAGCCTGACTACTGAAGGCTCATTCAATGTACTTTATCGATTTGGTTATAATCCCCAACTTGATTTCTTCTAAACTTACGGCATTGGATTCTACTCTATCAGAGAAAGAAAATCAAAGGGGAGAGGAGAAAAAAAGAATAGAATAGAGGAAAAAAAGGAGGATGAGGGAAGGACAAGTGTCAAGATAAAAAAATCTTAGAAAAGTTAGGATGGAGTTCATTGGAATGGAAAGTGAAGTACATTTTAAAATTGAAAAAAGTAAAGATTTTTGTTGATTTTGATTTTGTTGCAAAAGAAATAGAGAAGAAATAAAAGGAAAAGGGTAGTTGCTTCCTTAGCACTCAGGGTATGTAATCAGACACTGAAGTATAAAAGGATAAAAGACATATTAAATAACTGTTTTCCATCTGCAGTTACTAATGAAGAAAGTGGAGAGTCAGACAAAACAAGGATCAGGTTTCCAGGAATAAAAAGGGGCAGATAAATATCAGAGTGGAAAGACACCAGGATCTCACTAAAGCATGAAACCTGTGAAGGGGAGGATCCAATATGTAGTCAAGACTTGGTAGACCAGCTCTTGATTTCATTTTATTCATCACAGCTTGCTGGACCTGGCAAAAGCCGCCTCCTCTCAAAATGAATTTTATGTGCAGAGATGCAAACAGACTTCCGTCGGCTACTCATTAGCTCACAGTAGTAAAATTGCAGGCTTCCACCTCCCTCCCAAGAGAAGGCCTATCTCAGGATCTGCACCTTATTCTAAGTTAATATTTGTCCAGACTTAGAAAGGCAGTGGAACAGCTTTGGCTAGTCTTTGATCTCTCTTAAAGCTTAGACCCTGTGATGTAGCAAGAAGATGTCTGTGGGGATTTAAAAAAAATCCATCTATCCATTCATTCATTCATTATTTGGACAAACATCTATTGGTTACCAAGTTATGTATCTGGTACTATGCTAAGTACTGGTGAAATCAAGATAAATAATTAATTATCATTAAGGCACTCCAATCTGGTAGGAAGAGAGAAACCATCAATTACATAAAGCAAACATAGCTAAATTTTCATTGTAGAATCTAAATGGTGGAGATACTGGCTTTCACTACACATTGCTATCTATTTTTCTATAATTTTGAAAACCTTGTATAATAAAATATTAAAAAATAAACCAATTATAATATAACAATATATAATAACAATTATAATATAACAATAAGCCAGTGCTTATTGGTGTTTAACCCCAAGTTGGACTCCTTTTCATAAGTGAGGAGGCCATCATTTTTTAATGATCATTAATAGGTGCAGCACATAATGAGTTCTGGGTCAAGCAAGTTTGATAAGCATTGGGCTAAACATAAGTCACTATAGTTCTGTACTGCTTCTTTTACTGACCTCTAAGATGTCTATGCAATATGACTCTTCAAGATCAGACATAATATGTAGAGTTTTTTACATAATATGTAGGCTTATTTGACTATTTCCCTGGGTACTCATCAGCATTAGTGTTCTAGAAAATAGACAGTGGGAAATACTTGATTTAAGATTAATTCCACTGAGCTGTATCCCCTGAGAAATGTAATGAGGTTATGAAGGTATGTTACTGTGTATGATGATTCCTCTTTCAGCCCATAATCTAAACAGGAATTTACTTTTCTTATATGTAGTGGTTTAAGGAACACAATCTAGTATTATAGCACTATAATCATTCATAGAGAAACTGGGTAATGGCCTTATGAAGGCTATAATAAAGCCTTCATATCTTATGAAGACATGAAGAGCAGAAACACAGGAATGAATTGTTTTTTAAAGCCCAAGCATAACGACTTACTTCAAATAAACGCATGAGCCAAAGCTAATGACTTTAAAAATATTGAGTTAAGGACCCTGAAATGAAAAAGGGGCATCTCAGTTCAGAATGACACAGACCATCCTAAAGAGGAAAAGCGGAAATGAAACAATGCAAGCAGCAAAGCCATTTATATTGCCCCACTGGCTTAGGGCTTTTATATGAGGGAGAACTGGAGATAAATATCAGAGTTTCACAACATGGTATTCAGAATTATACTGGGGCAGGACTGTATAATGAAATAGGTATAATTCTCATGCAATAAGACATTTTCAACAAGCCCTTTTGTTCTTTGATTCCCAAGTTAAAGAACCTGTCTAGGTACTATGCAAGATATGCATGTGTCTACAGGGGTAAGAACCTATTAGATAGTAACGGTTAAATTTGCTTCACAGAGTGGGTAAACTAAGTAAACAGATGACTTCAGAGAATGCCCTCTTAACAGCCTTAATTTCTCTCTTGTGGTCCTACCTCTTACATGATAATAGAAGTATTACAAATTCTACCCTTTATTTTAGTTTTTGTTTACATTTTCACATAATTCTGAGAACATTTTTCATAGTGCATTAAAATTATTTGTGTATACATTGGCCTTCATGATTAAACTGTGGGCTCATTGAAGATGGTACTGTATATTTTTCATTTTTGTATCCCATGTGCAAATTCTGAAAGTCCTGATATGCCATTCTAAAGAGTTTGGATCTTATCCCAAGAGCAACTGGAAGCACTAGAGGCTTTTAAATAGGGTCAGTTTTAATAGGGCTAGATTTGCATTTAGAAAGCCCTTTGGCTGGATTGTAGAAAGTTGATTAGAGGCAGGAAGCCAGGTGGCAGGGAGGCCAGTGCGTAGGCCATGGCAGTAGTGCAGGTGAGAGATGAGGAGCTGAAACTAGGGCACTAGCATAGAAGCAGGGACAGCCAGAGGGGTTCAGGACATAGAATAGGCTGAATTTGGTAACTCATGAGATGCCAAAGATGGAAAAGAAAGTGTAGCCTTAAATGACTGATGTTTCTATCTGTGGTGACACTATTGGCTAGAAAGTGGAATACAGGAGGGAAAACTAGGCTGACAAAGAAGAGAATTAACATGTTCATCACAAACTGCCCTTTCTCAGAAAGCTAGGTACTGTGGAAACACAGAGAAAATAGTCTCTAACTTACCACCAGGCTAGGTTCCCACTGTTTGTTTCAAGTCAATTGCTTAGAAATTGGAATGCATTTTTCCAGAAGGAACAAAACTACAGATCCTGATTGGCCCTGAAGGCTATTTGCTCCCCAGTGGCCATAAAGTATTTTATTATTTCTGTGGGAGTGGGAGAAAAATCAAGGAAAAAGCCCTGAGAGCTTGTGAGGGAAGCTTAGGACTCAGACCCAGGTTCACCACTTATTCATCTTTCCATCTGTTTCCTTAGTTTCTCTAAAATAAAATGAAGATTCGAAACAAAGCTCTGCTTATGTAGGAGGTTTGTTGTAAAGCTCAAAAGAGATAGTCTATGAGAAAATATTTTGTGTAGTGTAGCCTGTCTTATAAATCTAAAATTTAAAAGCATCCATTTGGTTACCTGGTATTCCTGAAGGGTAAATGATTCCAGATAGCTGGGTTTGAAAGAGTTCAGAATTTAGTCTTTGACTTGAAATCAAGACAAATGCCCATCAATGACAGACTGGATAAAGAAAATGTGGCACATATACACCATGGAATACTATACAGCCATAAAAAGAATGAGTTCACGTCCTTTGCAGGGACGTGGATGAAACCAGAAGTCATAATTCTCAGCAAACTAACACAGGAACAGAAAACCAAACACCACATGTTCTCACTCGTAAGTGGGAATTGAACAATGAGAACACATGGACACAGAGAGAGAACCATCACACACCAGGATGTGTCGGGGGGAAAGGGGAGGCAGAGCATTAGGACAAGTAGCTAATGCATGTGGGGCTTAAAACCTAGATGACGGGTTGATGGGTGCAGCAAACCACCACGGCACATGTATGCCTATGTAACAAACCTGCACATTCTGCACATGTATCCCAGAACTTAAAGTAAATTTAAAAAAAAAAAAAAAAGAAAGAGTTCAGAATTTAGTCTTTTAAAGATGAAAACTTTTTTTCCTGAAAAGTTAACCATTTTATGGGCATGTAAACCTTTCCGAAATATTGCTTCTCTTACAGTGTCCTGAACATAAGACTAGGAGATTAGTAACTAGTTGTTGAGTAAACTGTTAATTTTGTGACCTTATTCTGAGGTGGCCACTCTTTCTCAGTCTCCTCTGCTAGTTCTTCCTCATCTCTCAGACCTCTTAAATGTGGAGGAGCCCAAAGACATAGGCATCAGACCTATTTACTTCTCTATCTGCATTCATTTCCTAGGTGACTTCATTCAGTCCTGTCGCTGTAAATTCCATCCATACACTCCTGATTTCCAATTCTGTGTCTCCAGTTTTGGCATTTCCTTTGAACTCCAGTCTTATACACCCAAACGCTTACTCAACATCTGCTTTGTATGTGAACTAAATATCCTAAATTTAACGTGACCAGAACGATTGTTTCCCATTCATGCTCCAACTGCAAACCTTGCTCTATTCTTCAACTGTCTAATCTCAATAAATGACAGCAAATGGCCATTTCCCTAACTAAAATCCTTGTAGTCAGCCCTGACCCTTTTAATGCACAGTCTGCATCCAACCTATCAGCCAACATTGGTGGCTCTGTCTTCGAGGTTAATTCATACTCCAACTACTTCTTACCATCTCCCCTGCTACCTCCCTGGCCAAGCCACCATCATTAGTCCTATAGATTATTTCAAGAGCCTCCTTACTTTCCCTCCTATGGTCTATTCTACACAGAGTAGCACTATGGCCACATTTATAGTTCAGATCATGTCACATCTTTGCTCAAAACCCTACAATGGCTCTGAATAAAATCGCAAGTTCTTGTAATAATCTATTAGGCCCTGGTAATTTAACCCATCTTTTCCCTTGACCCCACTCCTAAAACATAGCACTAATCTTACCTCAGAATCTCTGCTTATATTGTTTTCTGTCTCTGAAACTCTTCCTTTGATATCTGCAAGGCTCACTCTTTCACTTTATCCCATTCCCTGCTCAAACCTCGAATCAGAGAAGTCCCCCAACTTCCCTCAAGAAAGCAATACCATACTCCAGCACCATCATTCTCTATCCCATTGCTGAGTTTCATTTCACCCTCTAGCATTTTCACAACACCTGCATATTATGAATATATTTGTATATATGCTATATTCTTCAACTGTGTAATCTCAATAAATGACATATTCCATTGTAAAGTGTGGTCCATGGATTGCCACCAGTCTGCAAACCAGAAACACACACACAAACACACACAAACACACACTACTTTGAAACTTGCTTAGCAGCTTGACAGGGGAAGTTCATGTCTGTAGAATCTAATAATAAAAAATTCGGGTTTGTGTTTTGTATGTCTTTTTTATGTTTTCAAAATACCAGCTTAAATACATTGGAAATCTAAAAAAAAAAATTTTAATTGGTCCTTTATCAAAGATCATCTGAGCAGCCCTGGTTGACTTCACCCCTCCTGGACTGTAAGCTCCAGAAGAGCGGGATTATTTTTATCAAATATTTACTAAACCCTTACTATGGCCCTGGCCCTGAACTGGCCTCTGAGACTCAAACCTGAATAAGGCACAAACAATGCCTTCTTGGATCTCACAGTTCACTGGAGGAGAACAACACATAAAAACAAACGGCTGTCTAGGGTGAAAGCCCAACAGTGCAGATAAGGTACATACTATTCATGACTTAAAAGCTTATATATTTGCACACCTGAAAAGAAATCCAACTGTGCAAGTGTGTGATAAGCAGGACATGAGTAGTGAGGGAGAACCTCTTCAAGGAGCCCTGGGATCTGTCTCCCTCCCAATTGTGAATACTTTTGTGCCTCTTCTCTTAGCATCACCTTACATACTCCTATTTGTTCATTTGTTCATTGTTTACTCCAATGATATTCACAGTGTGGCCCATGGACCAGCACCTATTTGTTACCTGGCTAAAAGGAGATAACTTCCTTTCAATCTTTCCATCTTTCACACACAACACATTCATGCTCCCTGTCCAGAGATGAGTCTTCCTTTTCCCATGTTGGTCTGGCAGAAGGTGAGGGCTCCTGCTAAGTGGCAGAAGTCGTAAGCCAGAAGTGGGAGAACAAATCACTACTGATGTCCAAAAGCTTACAAATATCTGACAGGGTCAAACTGTAGTCAAGAAGCCTTTGTTTACTTCACGTTCCCTGAGCCACAATTTAAAAAAAAAAATGCACACAGTTTTTTCTTGCACTGCCTCATAGAACAGGATATCTTATTTAATTGAAAACAAGTCACCTTACTCTCTTCGCTGCAGGCCTGGGAGTAGTTTGAAGGTAGGTAGCATGGTTTTTGTTATTATCCCCATCCCCTAAAAACACAACACACATCTGGTATATTGCTATGCCCTTAACAATTAGATAGTTTAGTAATCATTTAAATCCCATCCCTTTACGAAGAAAAGACTTGATATAATTAACAAGAAAGGAGGACGGCAACAAAGATTTATTGAACAAAGTATGTCACAGCGCCTTTTGATTATTTAACCTTCATAACAGACAGGAAGATGGGTAGGTTATGCCCATTTTACAAATAAGAAAATAATAGGCTCGGAGAGCAAGGTGGGGAGAGCCGGTGTCAAATCATGTCAGTCTAATTCCAGGGATGTGTAATTAAATAGAGCCCAGGAAAAAAAATAGGAAAAAATTATGACAATGACAAGGAATATAAAAATTCTTACAACCATATTATAATTGGTTACAAGTGTTTTTAGTTTCAAAATTTCTAGTAACTGAGGCATCAAAAAGGAAGAAAAGGAAGAGGATGATATAAACATAACAGGAAAGAAGAAGGAGAACAAGAAGGGGGAGGAGAGAGGGTAAGAAAATAAGGATGAGGGAGGAGAAGGAGAAAGATGTAGAGAAGAATAAAAAATAAGAGGAGAAGAGAGAAAATAAAAAGGAGAAGAGAGAAAATAGGAAGAGGGAGAGTAGGAGGAGGAAAGAAAGGAAAGCAAAGCATTCTGAAGGGTCTAATTTGACCCAAAGATAAAATACAGAGAGGTGGAAAGAAAACGTGTCCCTTTACACTATTTTTCCCAGACACCAAAATCTAGATTAAGGTCAAAGTCCTAACTCAGATTCACAAACAGGGCTTTCTGTATTGCTAGCAAAAGGAAGATTCATTTGTTTTACACGCCCAACTAGTGGCTAGGAGAAGTGATATCATGCTGGAAAAGTAAGAATACAAAGCAATTTCTTTCAAATTGCCTATAAGTAAATTCGTATTAACTAGGATTTCTCTTTTCTCCTTTGCTGCTTTAGTTCTCTCCACTGCCTATCCCATCTCACCTCCAACATACAACAGGACCAAAAGAAAAAAAAATGGCTTAGAGTACCACATAAGAAATGAGCCTGTGATTGAGACATTACAGCCATTACTTACCTCATTTTAGGAGAATATCTTCCTCCCATCATTCCAAACTTCAGTTTACTATTAACTGCAACTATAATCACTTATTTGCTGAATAACAAATGAAGATTTACTGTGTGCTAGGCATTGTCCTCATGTTAGAGATACCCTCAGGCAGCTTACAATCTAATGAATAAACTGAGTAAGCATACAATTTAAATATAACAAGCAAATTCCTTTAATAGAAATAGAATTAAGCCAGAGATAATGTCATGAGGATTGTCATATAATGTATTGCACAATAATATAATCACAACTAAAAAGTAAAGTACCAAAGACTTTTAAAGTCACATTTTTAACAAAACAAACCATTTTTATTTTCTTGTTTGCTTCCTATCTTTATCTATGATCAGATAGTTGATTACCCCAGAACGCATACCATTTTGAATTATTTTTACTTGGTATATATTTAGAATGTCTTTATATTGCTCAGTATTTTACAATTATCACATAATAATCTTCTAAATCAATTTATTATAATTTTATAACAATTTCTTCTATTGCTGGGTATTTAGATTGTTTCCAGACTCTAGCATAAATGACACTGTAGTTAACACCTTCCTTTTTCCTCTTATTTTCCCTAGGATAAAAATTCACAGAAACAAAATTACAAATTCAAAATGTCTGTATATTTTAGAATTTCTCATTTACATTAATTTTTCATATTGTTTTCTAAAAGGTGTATATCCATCTACCATGCCACTATTAAGTATAGGTGACAGTTTGACTGCAATCTCAACTAATATATTTTCCAAACTCATACTACTCTAATAGGTAGAAAAAATACAAGTTATTTACTAAACTAGTATGGTTGAACATTTTTTATAAATTTTGCATGATTACCTTTGAGGGTCTTCAGATTTTTTTTTTCAACTTCTTTGTGACATATAATGAAGACATTAGCCATTATCATGCTTGTTGTAAATGTTTTCTCATACTATATTGTTACTGTATTTTTTTTCCTGAACAGATATTTTATCTCAGATGGTCAAATCTAACTATCTTTAATTTTGTGATTTAACCTACTATCTCAAGGCTTACAATGCCAGCATCACTCCAGAAATGTGATATCATTTCTATTTTCTAATATGTTCACTGGCTAGATATTTAATGCTGTTTGGCATGAGGCATGAATATAATTTTATTTTCAAAATAGACGGCCAACTATTTATAGATTTTTCTATTCTCTAATTTATATATATTATATTACATTTTCACTTCTTACATTTCTTATGTTTAATTAGATTATATCATCTATTTTAATTATTGCATATTTTCTTTATTTTAATATGTGGTACACTAGTCTGTTCATCATTCTTTGATTTTTCAGATGAATTTAACAACTGATGATGTAAGAAATTCTACTGAGATTTTGATTGATAATTATTTAAATCTATAAGTGCATTTAAGAGACATAGGCATTACAGAATGTAACATTCTCTACAAGACCTTATGTCTCTCTAAGCTGAAGAGTGTGCTGTAGATTCAAATGTCCTGGATTTAACCCTTTTTTATCTCAGTTTTTCCTATTTTCTCTTTTTTTCCTACATAAAATTTAGCACATGGTCTGTATTGTAAAATATTTTTGATGGAATCTTTTTTTTCTCTTTTTTATGTTTCTTTTGGTATTTTAAGAAATTTTTTATTTTTTGTTCTAGTAGCCACCATCATATCATGCCCTTTGTAACATTTCTTTTTCTTACTTAGGCTTCTACTATTTGGATTTTCATCTTTAAACATATCCTCTGACTCTTATATCACCTATGTATGGACTCATCATTGAGCTTTTTTTTTTTTCTTCAACTGTTATTTTAAGTTCTGGGGGACATGTGCAGAATGTGCAGGTTACATAGGTAAATGTGTGCCATGGTGGTTTGCTAAACCTATCAACCCATCACCTAGGTATTAAGCCAAGAATCCATTAGCTGTTGTGCCTGATGCTCTCCCTCCCCCGCGACAGGCCCCAGTCTGTGTTGCTCGCCCCCATGTGTCCATGTGTTCTCATCATTCAGCTCCCACTTATAAGTGAGAACACATGGTGTTTGGTTTTTTGTTCCTGCATTAGCTGGCTGAAGATAATGGCTTCCAGCTACATCTATGTCCCTGCAGCAGAGGACATGATCTCATTCCTTTTTATGGCTGCATAGTATTCCATGGTATATATGTACCACATTTTCTTTATCCAGTCTATCATTGATGGGCATTTGGGCTGATTCCATGGCTTTGCTGTTGTGAATAGTGCTGCAATGAACAAATGCATGCATGTATATTTATAACAAACTAATGTATATTCCTTTGGGAACATACCCAGTAATGGGATTGCTGGGTCAAATGGTATTTCTGCTTCTAGATCCTTGAGTAATTGCCACACTGTCTTCCACAATGTTTGAATTAATTTAGACTCCCACCAACAGTGTAAAAGTGTGCCTTTTTCTCCACAACTTCACCAGTATCTGTTGTTTCTTGATTTTTTAATAATCATCCTTCTGACTGGCATGAGATTTTGCACAGCAAAAAGAAACTATCATCAGAGTGAAGACAACCTACAGAACAGGAGAAAATTTTTGCAATCTATTCATCTAACAAAAATCTAATATCCAGAGTCTACAAGGAACTTATACAAATTTACAAGAAACAAACAACCCCATTAAAAAGTGGGCAAAGGACATGAACAGATACTTCTCAAATGAAGACATTTATGTGGCCAACAAACATATGAAGAAAAGCTCAACATCACTGATCATTAGACAAATGCAAATCAAAACCACATTGAGCTTTTTTAAACTTTCTTTTCTGCCTTTTTTACTTCAATAGGTTTTTGGGGAACAGGTGGTGTTTGGTTATATTAATAAGTTCTTTAGTGGTGACTTCTGAGATTTTGGTGCACCTATCACCTGAGCGTGTACACTGTACATAATGTGCAGTCTTTTATCCCTCACCCCCTTGGATCCTTTTCCCTGAGTCCCCAAAGTCCATTGTATTGTTATTATGCCTTTTTGTCCTCATAGCTTAGCTCCCACTTATGAGTTAGAACATACGATGTTTGGTTTTCCATTCCTGAGTTATTTCACTAACAATAATGGTCTCCAATTCCATCCAGGTTGCCGCAAATGCCATTATTCTA
This sequence comes from Homo sapiens, assembly GCF_000001405.40. Lineage (NCBI taxonomy): Eukaryota > Metazoa > Chordata > Mammalia > Primates > Hominidae > Homo > Homo sapiens. Next base: position 106,169,582 of record NC_000009.12, on the reverse strand, counting down.
TTCCTTTTTATGGCTGAATAGCATTTCACAGTATATATGTACCACATTTTCTTTATCCACTCATTGATTGATGGACATTTGGACTGGTTCCATATTTTTGCAGTTGCAAATTGTGCTGCTTTAAACAGGTAACTGCCTCTGGTAGAATTCGGCTGTGAATCCATCTGGTCCTGGACTCTTTTTGGTTGGTAAACTATTGACTATTGCCACAATTTCAGAGCCTGTTATTGGTCTATTCAGAGAGTCAACTTCTTCCTGGTTTAGTCTTGGGAGAGTGTATGTGTCGAGAAATTTATCCATTTCTTCTAGATTTTCTAGTTTATTTGCGTAGAGGTGTTTATAGTATTCTCTGATGGTAGTTTGTATTTCTGTGGGATCGGTGGTGATATCCCCTTTATCATTTTTTATTGCATCTATTTGCTTCTTCTCTCTTTTATTCTTTATTAGTCTTGCTAGAGGTCTATCAATTTTGTTGAACCTTTCAAAAAACCAGCTCCTGGATTCATTAATTTTTTGAAGGGTTTTTTGTGTCTCTATTTCCTTCAGTTCTGCTCTGATTTTAGTTATTTCTTGCCTTCTGCTAGCTTTTGAATGTGTTTGCTCTTGCTTTTCTAGTTCTTTTAATTGTGATGTTAGGGTGTCAATTTTGGATCTTTCCTGCTTTCTCTTGTGGGCATTTAGTGCTATAAATTTCCCTCTACACACTGCTTTAAATGTGTCCCAGAGATCCTGGTATGTTGTGTCTTTGTTCTCGTGGGTTTCAAAGAACATCTTTATTTCTGCCTTCATTTCGTTATGTACCCAGTAGTCATTCAGGAGCAGGTTGCTCAGTTTCCATGTAGTTAGGATGAACTGGTAACATTCCTTCTAAAACTATTCCAATCAATAGAAAAAGAGTGAATCCTCCCTAACTCATTTTATGAGGCCAGCATCATCCTGATACCAAAGCCGGGCAGAGACACAACCAAAAAAGAGAATTTTAAACCAATATCCTTGATGAACATTGATGCAAAAATCCTCAATAAAATACTGGCAAACCGAATCCAGCAGCACATCAAAAAGCTTATCCACCATGATCAAGTGGGCTTCATCTCTGGGATGCAAGGCTGGTTCAATATACGCAAATCAATAAATGTAATCCAGCATATAAACGGAACCAAAGACAAAAACCACATGATTATCTCAATAGATGCAGAAAAGGCCTTTGACAAAATTCAACAGCCCTTCATGCTAAAAACTCTCAATAAATTAGGTATTGATGGGATGTATCTCCAAATAATAAGAGCTATCTATGACAAACCCACAGCCAATATCATACTGAATGGGCAAAAACTGGAAGCATTCCCTTTGAAAACTGGCACAAGACAGGGATGTCCTCTCTCACCACTCCTATTCAACATAGTGTTGGAAGTTCTGGCCAGGGCAATCAGGCAGGAGAAGAAAATAAAGGGTATTCAATTAGGAAAAGAGGAAGTCAAATTGTCCCTGTTTGCAGATGACATGATTGTAAATCTAGAAAACCCCACTGTCTCAGTCCAAAACCTCCTTAAGCTGATAAGCAACTTCAGCAAAGTCTCAAGATACAAAATCAATGTACAAAAATCACAAGCATTCTTATACACCAATAACAGACAAACAGAGAGCCAAATCATGAGTGAAATCCCATTCATAATTGCTTCAAAGAGAATAAAATACCTAGGAATCCAACTTACAAGGAATGTGAAGGACCTCTTCAAGGAGAACTACAAACCACTGCTCAAGGAAATAAAAGAGGATATAAACAAATGGAAGAAAATTCCATGCTCATGAGTAGGAAGAATCAATATCATGAAAATAGCCATACTGCCCAAGGTAATTTATAGATTCAATGCCATCCCCATCAAGCTACCAATGACTTTCTTCACAGAATTGGAAAAAACGACTTTAAAGTTCATATGGAACCAAAAAAGAGCCCGCATCACCAAGTCAATCCTAAGCCAAAAGAACAAAGCTGTAGGCATCACGCTACCTGACTTCAAACTATACTACAAGGCTACAGTAACCAAAACAGCATGGTACTGGTACCAAAACAGAGATATAGACCAATGGAACAGAACAGAGACCTCAGAAATAACGCCACATATCTACAACTATCTGATCTTTGACAAACCTGAGAAAAACAAGCAATGGGGAAAGGATTCCCTATTTAATAAATGGTGCTGGGAAAACTGGCTAGCCGTATGGAGAAAGCTGAAACTGGATCCCTTCCTTACACCTTATACAAAAATTAATTCAATATGGATTAAAGACTTAAACCTTAGACCTAAAACCATAAAAAACCCTAGAAGAAAACCTAGGCATTACCATTCAGGACATAGGCATGGGCAAGGACTTCATGTCTAAAACACCAAAAGCAATGGCAACAAAAGCCAAAATTGACAAATGGGATCTAATTAAACTAAAGAGCTTCTGCACAGCAAAAGAAACTACCATCAGAGTGAACAGGCAACCTACAAAATGGGAGAAAATTTTCACTATCTACTCATCTGACAAAGGGCTAATATTCAGAATCTACAACGAACTCAAACAAATTTACAAGAAAAAATGAAACAACCCCATCAAAAAGTGGGCAAAGGACATGAACAGACACTTCTCAAAAGAAGACATTTATGCAGCCAAAAAACACATGAAAAAATGCTCACCATCACTGGCCATCAGAGAAATGCAAATCAAAACCACAATGAGATACCATCTCACACCAGTTAGAATGGCAATCATTAAAAAGTCAGGAAACAACAGGTGCTGGAGAGGATGTGGAGAAATAGGAACACTTTTACACTGTTGGTGGGACTGTAAACTAGTTCAACCATTGTGGAAGTCAGTGTGGCGATTCCTCAGGGATCTAGAAGTGGAAATACCATTTGACCCAGCCATCCCATTACTGGGTATATACCCAAAGGACTATAAATCATGCTGATATAAAGACACATGCACACGTATGTTTATTGCGGCACTATTCACAATAGCAAAGACTGGGAACCAACCCAAATATCCAACAATGATAGACTGGATTAAGAAAATGTGGCACATATACACCATGGAATACTATGCAGCCATAAAAAATGATGAGTTCATGTCCTTTGTAGGGACATGGATGAAATTGGAAATCATCATTCTCAGTAAACTATCGCAAGAACAAAAAACCAAACACCGCATATTCTCACTCATAGGTGGGAATTGAACAATGAGAACACATGGACACAGGAAGGGGAACATCACACTCTGGGGCCTGTTGTGGGGTCGGGGGAGCGGGGAGGGATAGCTTTAGGAGATATACCTAATGCTAAATGACAAGTTAATGGGTGCAGCACACCAGCATGGCACATGTATACATATGTAACTAACCTGCACATTGTACACATGTACCCTAAAACTTAAAGTATAATAATAATAATAAAATTTAAAAAAACATGTATGTGGAAGTATTTTTTTCATATAATGATTTCCTTTCCTCTAGGTAGATACCCAGGAGTCAGATTGCTGGATCAAATGACAGATCTACTTTTGGTTCTTTAAGAAATCTCCACACTGTTTTCCATGGTGGTTGTACTAGTTTACATACCCACCAACAGTATAAAAATGTTCCCTTTTCACCACATCCATGCCAACATATATCATTTTTTTTTATTATGGCCATTTTTGCAGGAGTGAGGTGTTATCATGTTGTGGTTTTCCCTCTCTTCTCCCATAATTTAGTTATGCTACTTCTATTTTGTAAAAACATAAAATTCACATCACTTCTTTTGATTTCAGACCTTGACTCCGTATTTTTTAATTCTATAATCTAAAAATATATATGTTTACTGTTTCCCAATGTGCCAAACTCTCCTCAATCATAATTTGGTTGAATGAAGTTTATCCTCTATTAGATTCTTCAGGAAGAGCTTGTAAGTGCAGTATTCCTGCAATTCTTATGTGTTTAAAACTACTTTTCCTTAACCTTGATTTTATAATACAAGTTAGCCAGATACAAAATACTTTGCTAACGCTTTATTTGTTTAAGTTTCTTGAAAATAGTTCTACTGTTGTCTTTCTTTGTGTTTTGCTGTTGAGAATTTTGATGCCAATCCGGATTTTTTTAAGTGCATTTGTCTTTTTGCCAGGAGGTCCATTTGATATTTAAAAATTTATTGTTATCTGTGACTCAGTGTTGACTGTTCTGGGCCAACTTTCCCAGGTATATGGCAGGCCCTTTCAATAGGTAAGTTTAGATCATTTATTGTCCAGACAGTTTTCTTGAATTATAGTTTTGAATATAAGTTCTGTTTCATTGTGTTGTTTTAATTTTTCAGAAACTCTAATTACAGACATTTTGAGCCTTCTTTATCTATCTTCTAGATCTATTACTTTTTCTTTTAACATTTTTACCTTCCATTTTTTGTTGTTATTGTCTTGGCTGTTGCATTTCCATTTCCCAATTCCTCTGTTGCATTTGCAGTTTGAATTTATACTTCTTAAGTACCTTTCATTTTATTAAATATCTATTTCAGTGATGATTCTCTTTCTCTTCTAATTCTTTTCTGAATTTAATCAATATTAATTTCTCATCTTCTGGAGTGTTCTGTCCATCTCAATTCTAAATTTTTGATTTGAGGAAGTTTTTTTATGTTTACTTGCTTAAGAATATTCACTTCAGCTTGTGATAATGTGTCAGTTTTCTTGTGCTTCATGATTAATTTTAGGGGAATACATTTTTTCTTTTTTTCTTTTTGCTTTGTCTTATTCTCATATTCTAGTAAATTCTATTTGCTATTTGGTTTTCAATGTCTTATATTTTCCTACCAGTAATAACTAGTTTGTGTAGGCAGAAGTGATGAATTTGGATGCCTTGTCGGATTTTTTTCATTCAAAAGCTCCCTCTTTCATTGTTACAGTGAGATTAACTTCTTTAATCAATAATCTTTTAATCAAAAGTCTGTTATTTGGATTGAGGGTGAGTTGGTGTGCCTTCCGATTTTACGATTATCTTTTGTTTCAGAAGTATTCTTTATTTGCATAGCTTGCTCTCTTCTTCCCATATCAACAAGCCTGTACGAGACAGCTCCCTCTAAATTGGCCCTCTCCTCTCCAAAAACAATGGCTTCTCAAATGGCTGCCCTTAGTACCATAAACTTTAAATCCCCTATTTTTTTTTTTTTCTGGAGACAGGATGAGGCTGAAATATAGTGATGCAATCATAATTCACTGCAGCCTCCATCTCCTAAATCTCCTATGCTTTGATTTTCTAGCAACCAGTGCTCTAATGCATTTTGTCTCAGACCCATTCTCAGTATTTCTCCACTAAGGGTAGGTTTCCCTCTTTATAAGAGTAATTTTATTCTATTCCACTGATGCTAGGACCTTCCTAACCCCTCCTTCATCGTTTTTGAAGTCTCTGCCCAACTCTTCTCTGGCTTGACCTCAGAGTATACCTGGGCATTGAAACGTTTATTTTCCTACATGTTAATTTCCTACGGCTGCTGTAACAAATTACCAGAAATTAGTGGCTTAAAATAATATAAATGCATTAACCTACAATTCCAAAGATCAGAAGTCTAAAATGGGTCTTACTGGGCTAAAACCGAGGCAAAAGCAAAACGCAGTCCTTCTAGAGGCTCTGGGAAATAATGTTTCCTTGTTTATTATAGATTCTAGAAGCCATATTCATCCCTAGGCTTTTGGCCACATTCTTCCATCTTCAAAGCCAGCAAAGTCTTGCTGAGTCCTTCTCACATGGCCACCTTTTTTTCTTTTCCTCCCCAAGGCGGAGTTTCGCTTTAGAGATGGAGTCTTGCTCTGTTGCACAGGCTGGAGTGCAGTGAGAGGATCTCGTCTCGCTGCAACCTCTGCCTCCTGGGTTCAAGCAATTCCCCTGCCTCAGCCTCCCAAATAGTTGGGACTACAAGCGCACGTCACCACCCTGGCTAATTTTTATATTTTAAGTTTCGCCATGTTGCCCAGGCTGGTCTCGAACTCCTGAGCTCAGGTGATCTGCCTGCCTCGGCCTCCCAAAGTGCTGGGATTACAGGCATGAGCCACTGCCCCCGGCCATCATATGGCCACCTCTATGGTCTTTCTCTTCTCCCTCCCTCTTCTACTTAAAAAGACTCTTGTGATTACATTGGGCCCAATTGGATAGTCCATGATAATCTCCCCATATCATAGTCATCTCATTATCAGCCTTAATTTCCTCTGCAACTTTAATTCCCCTTTAGCCTTGTAAACTAATATATTCACAGTTTCCAGAGATTAGGATGTGAGCATCATCTTTGGGGAGGGAGACATTAGTCTGCCTCCCACTCCCTGCTTACACAAAAATTGAGCTTGTGGTATTCTTGTCTTTTATGTGCTTTAGGCATGAACTTTGGGTGGTTTTATTTGCTTTCCTTATTGATATGTGTGCTTTTTGGAGGGAATGTGGAGAGATTTGGCTTTTGGCAGCTACCATTACCCTACTAGAAACTGGATTTCATCCACTATTTCAAAAGCCAGAACATTGTTTCATATCTCCATTCCTTTGTTCATAATGTTCTTGCTGCCCAAAATGTCCTTCATTTTTTAGAAAACTCCAGCTCAGGTGGCACTTCTGCTACCACCTAAAAGGAATCAATCATTGTTTAAGACTCCTTTAAGACTTTGTGCTTACTCTATTATTCCAGATGCTGTGTGGTATTAGAATTATTCTTTATGTGTCCCACCAGATAAGGAGATATTTTAGAGTAAAAGACTATTTCCTATTCATTTTTTGTTTATGGCCTGAAATAGTATACGGCATATGCTCTATAACTGTTATTATCTATATTAATGAGTTTTTATACCTACTATTTATACTGAGCACTTGACCAATTATTAGGAACGCTTACTAAAATTCAATACCATAAGTCTTTTTACCTTCATTTTACGGCGGAAAAGACTAAGAATGAAATTGTGGCCAAAGTCACAAAGTCAATAAATAGTAATGCTATGGACCTCAATCTTAATCCATGTCTATTTGACTACCCACACATCTTAGGCTGTTTTCACTTCAATTAAATTTGTTCTTAGAGGGATAGTAAAATAAAGAGTGGTACACCCTTGGAACAGCCAGAAAAAAAAATTATTCCAAAAGAAGATTCCAGAACTCTATGTTCTTTCTTCCAATGAAATCACATGGTCTTCCTAGAGGCCAAGAACCTCTGCTAGGTGGACAAATACAAAACCGCTCAATGAGAGCATAATCTAGGCAGTGTAGACTTGGCACTTAGCATTTTACTTAGAATAAAAGGGAGCAAAGCCTTGATTGGTTTTCCAAGAAGTCAGACCAGGTGAATTCTGGGGGCCGTGGAGATTCTGGAGATATGTCAGAGGTTCAGTGGAGGCTTTCAGAAAAAAGTAGTCATCCTAATACCAGGAGCCACCATGCTCTGAAAGCTCACCAATGTGCTGAGAACAGGTCTAAAGAAGAGATACAGTTCCCGATTTTCTAAAGAGCTGACAAAAATCCTTGCATTGGCTCAAGAAGACCAAAATTGAAGTAAAAGAAAGATGCTGAGTGAAAATTGATTTTCAGGTACAGACCACCAGGAATCCATAAATTCCATTGTTACAATAGGAAGACAGACTTAATAGGCAGAGTAACCAGAGGAATGAGTGCAAGGCTTATGCCAGCTAATTGATTGTGGGCTGGACCTGGATGCTAATTATGCAGACCTAGGGATGTATTTCATATCCACAGGTAATACCAAGCTGGGAGAGGCCATGGCAAAGCAAAAGCATGGAGCTTAAAATTAAAATCCCTACTTTTCTGCTTCTAAATCTTCCTTGAGGATTGGCTGTCCTGCTTAAAAGACTGTATTAACAGACTTTGAAAACAATCTTAAGGCAGGTGTGAGGCAAAGACATAGTTCCTTCATGTTGATCATTAGTCTCTAAGACTTATAGTTGACTCCCCTTACAGAGGATGCAGATCTAAGTCAGGTAATAAAGTAATGTGAATCAGAAAGAAATTAAAATTGAGAAATCAGTGCTACCAAACACTAAGAGGACTGAGGAGTGCCAAAAAAAACGTTACTCAAGGGGAAAGCTCTCTTACTTCTGGTACCAAATAAGATTGGATAAGTCAGAAAAACCTGAGTGAGATGGTCTGTGAATTCAACTTCTGCCTCCGTTATTACGTGACTTGGTGGCTTTGAGGAAAGACTAAAACCAAGACAAATTGGCAGAGTCAGTGCATAAGAGCCTATGCTGTGAAGGGCCACACAGCTCTAAACTGTAGGACACAGCCCTGACTTGAAAGGGCCGTTTCCATCAGACACAGCCATGGTGTAATACCTCCCATGTAAACTAACAAAAATAAAATTAAATGAAAACAAAATCTCTGTTGGCCACACAGCTCCTTCTAGCTACTTGTCACATTATTCTAAGAAAATTTGACTTTTCTCACTATCTCTATTTGTCTACCTTCTGTTCTCTAGTAAAAATACTCTAATCAAGTCTTCATCCCCACCATGCCACAAAAACGGATTCTATAAGGCTCCCAGTGCCCTCCATCTTGATAAAGACAACGGACAACTTCCAGTCTCAAGCATACTTGATGTCTCAGCAACATTTGGTAGGGTTAATTTCCTTCTCCCTCTTGAAACACTTGTCCCTTTTGACTTCTAGAAAAGCACACTTCCTGTTTTGTTTCTGTTTTGATGGTTTGCTTTGCTCATTGGTTTATTAGACTTTTCTTCTATTTTGCTTCTTTGCCAACTTGTCCTCATTCTAATTTCTAAATGTTGAGATGCCCAAGGGCTCAGTCCTTAACTCTCATTTATTCTCTGTTTATCCAAGGTATGCTCAACCAGGCTCATAATTAAATATCATCTATTCTGTCACGATGCCTAAATGTGAATTTCCGTCCCCAACGTCTCCCCTAATTCCACCTTGTTGACTGATTAACTTCTCCAAACTTCCACACGGATGTTCACTAGGCTTCTCAAAATTTACATGTCTAAAAGAGAACTTCTGATTCCCATTTACTCCTGCAGCTTGCACCCTGCTCCATCTGTTCCTCTTCGGCCCTTCCAAACTCAGTAAATGAGAAGTCTCCTCAGGCCAAAACCTAGAAGTCATCCAATCCATATGCCAGACAGTATTTACTCATCCTTAAAATGTTCCTAAACATTGGTCATTTCTCAACGCTTCCACCTCCATACCTACCATCCTAGTTCAAGCCTCCTTCTCTCACATGAACTAATAAGAGGCAATACTTCCTCACTGATCTTCACTGCCACCTTTGTCCCACCCTCACCCTTGCTATACTCTTTAGTTTTTCCCTGCATGGCAGCCAGAGTGATCATATTTCCAGCATAAGTCAGATCATGACATTCCCTTGACCTAAGCGCTCCAAAGGCTTCCCATTCATTCATACTAAAAGAATAAACTCCAGATGTTTGGGGGTTTTCTTGTTTTTTGTTTTTTGAAACAGGGTCTCACTCTGTTGCCCAAGCTAGATGGCAGTGGCACAATCTCGGCTCACTGCAACCTCTGCCTCCTGGGTTCAAGTGATTCTCCCATCCCAGCCTTCCAAGTAGCTGGGGTTACAGGCACATGCCACCACATCCAGCTAATTTTTGTGTATTTTTGGTAGAGACAGAGTTTCACCATGTTGGCCAGGCTGGTCTTGAACTTCTGACCTCAAATAATCCACCAGCCTCAGCCTCTCAAACCGCTGAAATTACAGACATGAGCCACCGCGCCAGGCCTGGTCTTCTTAACCATAATGATTGCATAACTAACACTCTCACCTCCTTCAAGTCTTTGTTGAAATACCATTTTTTAAAATGATGCTTACAATGACCACATTTAAAATTGAAACCCACCATCCCTCTCTTCCTAATCCCATTTGCTCTGATCTGTTTTTACATAGCACTTGTCACCATCTAATGTGTTATATAATTTACTTATTTATTTTTTTTATGTTCTCTACTAAAATGTGAAGTTGTGTAAGATCATGTCCGTATTATTCACTGATATGTCCCAAGAGCCTAAAGAAGTGCTTGGTATAGGGCGGGCACTCAATAGACAGCACCATCATTTCCCAGTGACTGTGCCCCTGCCTAGTTTCCTGACCTCCTCTCTCTCCTACCACCCTTCTCGTTCTCTGTGCCCCCGCCACACTTGCCTTCTTGCTATTCTTCAAACATACCACCTTCGTTACTTCAGCAGACCCTTTGTGCTTTCTAACTAGAGCAGGTTTTGCTCATATCTTCATGTGGATTACTTCCCAATTTCATTCAGAGGATACTTCCCCGATTCCCTTGTTAAATGTGTGCTCTCTGTTAAATGGTATCACTATTCTCCAACACTCCTGCTTCCCTGCCTATGGTACCCAGTCAATGGGAGGATACCAGAACTCAGGAAAGGCCTTTTACTTTGCTATGGTTAATAAAATGTGGACAGGTATGATGTGTGCCACTTCCAGGCAGAAGCTTTAAAAGCCAGGCTGTGGTGTCTTATTTTTTTTTATTTTTATTTTTTTGAGATGGAGTCTCGCTCTGTTGCCCAGGCTGGAGTGCAGTGGCGAGATCTCGGCTCACTGCAAGCTCCACCTCCCAGGTCCACGCCATTCTCCTGCCTCAGCCTCCGGAGTAGCTGGGACTACGGGCACCCGCCACCACGCCTGGCTAATTTTTTGTATTTTTAGTAGAGACGGGGTTTCACCATCTTAGGCAGGATGGTCTCGATTTCCTGACCTCATGATCCGCCCGCCTCAGCCTCCCAAAGTGCTGGGATTACAGGCGTGAGCCACCGCGCCCGGCCCAGTTTCTTATCTTTTTCCTTTCTGCCACCATGAATGGAAATGTTCTGGATTGAGGCTACTCTGTCATCCTGGGCCCCAAGGTAAACATGTGGAACAGGGGTACAGCCCACCTATGGTAGACACGCAGCCAGAACAAGGCAGCCTCTTTGGTTATTGCAAGCCATGGAGATTTGCAGCTTGTTTGTTGCTGCAGCATAACATAGTTCTTTACCCTCTGCAGCATTTTTTATTGCCTGAAAGTATAATATGCTTTTATTTGATTACTTGTTCAATATCCTCCACTGGAAGGTAAGCTCATAAGGCTATGGATTTTTGACACATTCACTATATTACTATCACCAAGAACAGCACCTGTAGGTGCTCAATAAATATTTATAGAATTTATTAATGAAACTTTATTCTTCTGGACAGCACATCCTGGCTGCTCCAACCTGTGTGTGCAGGTATTCTGGAGATGCTATATCTCTCTCATAAGGGAAAATGTGTATAGAGAATGCTAACCCAACAACTTTCCTCTCTAAGAATGCATTCTTCCTTTCCTCCACTCCTGCCCCATCCTGGTGTTGATGGAGTCGTATATCTAGACAAATTTTTCCCTGACAAGGTGCAGCCAAGAGAGGCTGCCCCATTTCATTCTGATAAACAAAAATAGGAGAAAATATAGTTCTTATACCTGGGAGAGTCTCCCTACTGAAAAACCTCATTTTTACTAGTGAAGCTGTCTTCTCTAAGAAGAAAGTAAGGGAAACTCTTTTTCTTTTATATAGAGGCACACAAATACCACAAGGGGAAGGGGGCATATTATCTCTGCCTGTTTATTATTAGTTATGCTGGTGTAACTATCACTCTGTTTCTCATCTATAATAGTGCTAGTAGTTCTCAAAGAAGTTGAAAAAGAAAGAAAGAGAAAGAGATTAAGAGAGAGAAAGAAAAGAAAGGAATATTAAAAACAGAAAGAAAATTGTTTATTTAATGCAATTATAGAGACTAAACTCATAAATCCTCAGAAAAGACAGTGGAAAATCATCCTGTTTTTCCTTCCTTTTTTCCCATAAACCCCCGCCTTAGTGTTCAGAAATGTTCTTCACTTTCCCCTCCAAAGGACTGTCCATCCTTGTTCTGCTCGCTCTCAGTGACGGGAAACTCATTGCCTAACTCAGTCTGTGGACCATTATGAATGTTGGAAATGTCTTTTTTGAATTTAGCTGAAGTCTGTGCTTCATAGCTTTTCATACATTATCCTCAGCTCTAATCCCTGACACCACAATCAGTCTAATCCTTCCCTATATAGGCCAGTTGTTCAGAGAATTGGAGGAGTCAATGGCACTTTTCCAGAGAAAGTGATCTCCAAGCAGATATTTCATAAAGTAAGTAGTACTAAGTCATGTTAAGAAGGAAGGGTCCTTAAAGGAGACAAAAAGAACAGTATACACTTCTGCCCAGCAACAAGAAAGAAGTTGGCAAATCAATGGGTGGTTAATGTTGCAGGAGTCCTGGTTCTGGGAAGATCTTGAAGGGAAGGGAAGGAAGTGCTAGGAATGAACCTAGAGAAACAGGATTATGAAGCTGCTTGTAACTACTCTTAAGAAGTTTGTGTTTTACCCTAAGATCATCAAGAAACATTTATTGACCTATTTGAAACAGGAATGACTGGATAAACAAGATGTTCTTTAGGAAGAACATCTTGACTGTAGTGTGGAGAATGGATTAGATGGGGTAGGAGGGAAGACAGAATTTGAGGAGACCTTTTAGAGGGCCCTTTCAGTAACTGGGGTTCAAGATGATGGTGGCTAACATAAGGAAAACAGCAGTAAGATAGAAGTTGGCAGAATTAAGGGATACTTAGAAGCTAGAATTGACAGATCTTGGTGAATACTATCTTTTTAATTATCTGTGAGACAAAGAGCCACATATAGACATTTTCTCAGAGCCTTAGTATATAAACAGTTTTGAGTCAAATGTCCGGCATTCATTTTTACAAAGCCAAGACTTCTGTGCCATCTCCTCACCTCCCTTGGGCTTCAGTTTCTCCTGACTAGTGTCTGCTTATTTTATCTGTAATAGGCCAGATGCATTCTGTTTGGCAGAGAAGAGGAAACCTCAGGCAGGAAGTAAGAATTCTGCACCCTGCTCTCTTAGGGTAACATATCCCCACATGTATTTACACACTTGGCAAAAAACCAAAATAAGACTATGCAGAAGGATGAGAATTGTCAAAATACTATAGAATGCAAAAGTATTTAACTTGGTTTCTTTTACATCTTCAAACAATGGCTCAGCACACAGATAAAAGATTACCAGATGTTATGCAAATGTAATAGTGTTTAGGCTTCCTTTGTCTCAGTTTTAGGAAGCTATAGAGGGACATGATTAAGATAGACCTGGATTTAAATCTCAATCATATTCTCTCACAAGCAGTGTGACTGTGGACAAGTTGTGTACTCTCCCTGACCCTCAGTTTTTCATTTAAAATTGGGATGAACAATACCCAGCTCATTATGATGGAGAGGGTGAATAGAGGTAAAAGGTTAGTGTAATGTCTGCTGCAGAACAGTCCTCAGTAACCAGTAGAAATGGTGTTTTTGGTTAGTAGAAATTGCAAGGTTAAGTCTTCAAAAATCTGTTTTACTCACTTCCAAGATAATAAGATTGTGTCAAGTGAAGGCCTTCTTAGTTTTCCTGAAGTCAATGCCAGGTTGCCTGAGAAGCAGTGTTTCCTTCGCTGAAAGTGGCCTCAACTTTTCATTAGGCAAATTTGGTCTTGAGGAGAAGTGAGTCCAAGCTCAGGCCCTGTCCTCTCAGATATGTCCCAGATAAGTCTCATGGTACCACCATGGCCTGGGCTCTTCCTTGTTTCCCTTATTAAACTGATTCCTATTAATACCTTATTTGTCACAGTTGTCACCCTTTTCAGGTCTCCTAGCCATGCTTCAGCTCTCTCCTAGGCAGCCCTCACCTCTAGTTTGCTTAAGGATTCATCATTTATTTCATTGTCCAAAGCTCCAGATCCATAGCCTCTTCCTTGGGAGAAGAAACTGGCTAAGAAGAAATTAACATCCTGAAAATAAACTTAGTTTCAGTTAAGATATAAGAGGCCAGAGGGCATAAACTTTCAGTAAAGTAACACTAGGTTGGGCACGACCCTAATTTCATTCTGTTTCCACTCCTTGGATGTGAGATAATGCAGGAGTAAAGAGCCCAAACTTGGGAATTATGCCAACCTGTTCAATCACACTTATTAACTCTGAGACCCCCTTGAACCTGCTTGCTCGCTAGCACAATGGAGATAATAAGAGTACTTATTACCTCATGGGTTTGTTGTGAGGATTAAATGAGATAATAAATTTAATGCACTTAGTTCGGTGCCTGTCACATAATATGCACTTAACTGAAAGAAGCTTCTGCTGTTGTTATGAATTCAATTATAATTATTATTCCTAGAGTCATTGCAGTCCAGTTCTCTTCATGGCCTGTAATTCACAACTTTTATGTTCTGCCCAGAAGTTAAGCATGATCTGACCACTCTGAGTAAATGTCTGCTGGCTTTCTCTGAAAAAATCTCTGTATCCTCATCTCTGTAAACTCCTAAAGCAAGGGAAACTGCATCCTAACACAAAAACCATGGCAGCACGACTACAACTGTGTACATGTTGCAGTTGACCAAATACTCATTTTCTTGGAACCTCATCACCACTCTGAGCAATAAACAGAGTAAAGGTCATCATACCTACATAGAGAGCAGGCCAAGAGAGGCTAGGGGACTTGCCCATAGTCAAACATCCAGAAAAAGCAGCACAAGGAATAGAATGAAGATTTTACAACTCCAGGCCATGCCTCTTGACTCCTAGGTTTGAGCTGCTCTCCTCAAAATCAGTCAACCGTTTGACTCATGACTTCTGGGTCTGATGGTACATAGGCCAATATATTCTGCATCCTGACAGTGCGGGATATTTGGTCACCATAAGAAACCAGAACACCAAGGAGAGAATGTCAAAGAAGCAAGGAATTTCAGAGCTCCAAAGACCTACCTGACCATCCCACATTTTCTGGGAAGGCAAAGGATACCACTCCCAGGTCACACTGAACTCATAGCAGAGCCAAGACTAAAATGCAAAGGAGAACACTAATTTAGGAGCTGACTTGAGAGGATCCATGGAACCATCATACTCAGGCTTCATTGCTGTCATTAATCCAGTGTGCTGTATCCCATACTAAATTCTGGGATTCAGAGAAGAAAAACATATATTTATTATTTTTAAGACAACGAAAGTCATATAACTCAACCATAATTATAAGAAAAGTTAATTGAATAATTGATGTGAACAAATCACTATACTTCACACATAAGCACTTTACTTTGTGATTAGCCATATAAGGGCAGACACACTACTATTATTCCTATCCTATAGATGAAGAAACTGAAGCTTACACAGCTGAAAGAATTTTTCCAAGGCCTAATGATACGGCTAAGATTCAAAAGCACGCAGTTAAATTCTAATACTCATGTTCTAGTCTGCTCTACTGAAAGGAGATAAACTCCTAAACAATAAAAGCAACTCAAAATATTACTACCACAGTTCTTCCTGGGAAATGGGCAATTTGAAAACTGAGGATGGAGCCCACAACATCTAAGAATGATGTCCTTCTGAGTTACAGGTATTAAAGAAGGTATGTCAGAAATCCATGAAAAAAGGTGCTGAAATGTACTATCTGCTGTCCAGGAAGTATCATACATCTTTGAATTTTTCTCTTTTTTTAATTATATTTTAAGTTCTAGGGTACATGTGCACAACGTGCAGGTTTGTTACATATGTATACATGTGCCATGTTGGTGTGCTGCACCCATTAACTTGTCATTTACATTAGGTATATCTCCTAATGCTATCCCTCCCCCTTCCCCTCACCCCAAGACAGGCCCCGCTGTGTGGTGTTCCCCTTCCTGTGTCCAGGTGTTCTCATTGTTCAGTTCCCACCTATGAATGACAACATGAGGTGTTTGGTTTTTTGTCCTTGCGATAGTTTGCTGAGAATGATGGTTTCCAGCTTCGTCGAAGCACCATTGATGAATCCACAGCAGCCCCAGCCAGGGTTACTACAGACAGGGCACTAGAAAAGGAAAACCAGGAGTAGGAGTTGGTGAGGAGGAGGGGGTTGAGGCAGTGCGGGCAGTGTGGCAAGATACTTTAGTCTCATTGCTATCAAATCTATTCTTTATCTCTGAAAGTTGGAAGAAGCAATCCAATCTGTACATTCTTTCCCCCACCCTATGATAAATTACATTTTTAAAAAATAACTTGTGCAGAATTTATTGATCAGCATTGACTGTGAACTTCACAAATTCATACAAAAGAGTTTTCTCATTATAGAGTCATTTAAAGGACTTGTTCAGAGCATTCATTGTAAAGTTCACCTACAGTATTTTTTTCTTTTAAGAAACAAGGCATGAAATGTATAAAGTTGATAGGAAAAAAAAATGCAGCCTGGGCTCAAGTAGATTTTTCAGCATATTCTTTCAGCCTCATTCCCTTCAGTTTGGTAGATGAAAGTAAGAGGTGCCACCTTGACAAACTTTTTTCCAAGAGTCAGCAACAGAAATCCCTCCAAGGGTTTTAGCTGGTCAAAACGTGAATTCAAAGCTAGAATTAATCAAAAGCTTATTCTAAGAGAAACCCTGACTTTGTCTGTAGATTCCCTATGACCTTTCTCCATGAGGAAATGAAGAGGTCTGTCATCAAGGGAGGAACATTTGCTGGGGTTCTCAGCTTTCATATGGAATGCCAACCCTACTATCTGCTCCTCTAGCTTCCAAATTATAATACCCCATACTCAACCAAATACACGGAGCCTTATGAGGCAATTTCAGTCCATAATGCCTGCAGTCTGGGCCCTGTCAGAAGCTCCTGGGCATTGAGGGAAAATATTCATACTATCAAACCACTCCTTTTTAAATTTAACTTTTAAGTTCAGGAGTACATGTGCAGGTTTGTTATATAAGTAAACTTCTGTCATATGGGTTTATTGTACAGACCTCATTAGCCAGGTATTAGGCCAATATTCATTAGTTATTTTTCCTGATCCTCTCCCTCCTCCCATCCTCCACCTTCTGATAGGTCCCAGTGTGTGTTATTCCCTTCTATGTGTCCATGTGTTTTCAACATTTAGCTCCCACTTGTAAGTGAGAACATGCAGTCTTTGGTTTTTTTGTTTCTGTATTACTTTGCTAAGGATAATGGCCTCCAGCTCCATCCATGGCCCTACAAAGGACATGATCTCATCCTTTTTTATGGCTGCAGAGTATTCCATGCTGTATATGTACCACATTTTCTTTATCCAGTTTACATTGATGGGCATTTAAGTTAATTCCATGTCTTTGCCATTGTGAATAGTGCTGTAATGAACACACACGTGCATATGTCTTTATGACAGAACAATTTATATTCCTTTGGGTATATGCCTAGGAAGGGGATTGCTGGGTAGAATGGTATTTCTTTTTTTAGATTTTTGAGAAATTGCGACACTGTCTTCCACAATGGTTGAAATAATTTACACTCCCACCAACAGTGAACAAGCATTCTTTTTTTTCCACAACCTCTCCAGCATGTTAGTTTTTGACTTTTTAGTAACAGCCATTATGACTGGTGTGAGATGGTATCTCACTGTGGTTTTGATTTGCATTTCTCTAATGATCAGTGATGTTGAGCTTTTTTTTTAAGATGGTTAACTGCATGTATGTCTTATTTTGAAAAGTGTTTGTTCATATTCTTTGCTCACTTTATAAGGGGGTTGATTTTTTCTTTTAAATTTGAGTTCCTTATAGATGCTGGATATTAGACCTTTGTTAGGTTCATGGTCTGTAAATTTTTCTCCCATTCTGTGGGTTGTCTGTTCACTCTGTTGATAGTTTCTTTTGCTGTGCAGAAGCTCTTTAGTTTAATCGGATCCCATTTGCCAATTTTTGCTTTTGTTGCAGTTGCTTTTGGCATCTTTATCATAAAATCTGTGTCCATTCCTATGTCCACAATGGTATTGCCTAGGCTGTCTTCCAGGTTTTTTATAGTTTTGTGTTTTACGTTTAAGTCTTTAACCCATCTTGAGTTAATTTTTGTATATGGTGTAAGGAAGGGGTCTTATTTCAATCTTCTGCATATGGCTAGCCAGTATCCCAGAACCATTAATTGAATAGGGAGCTCTTTCCCCATTGCAGCTTTGTTGAAGATCACATATTGTAGATGTGCAGCCTCATATCTGGGTTCTCTATTCTGTTCCATTGCAAACCCCTCTCTTAGGCGTTTTACCAAAGGGTCAAGGAACCAACAGGAGACACAGAGTGAAACAATCACAGACGTGTCCTGAGTTGTTCTTTACTGACATGAACAGAGTTTCATGGAGAGTTAATGTCAGGAGGCTTCATTCTACTCCCTTCTGTATTTCTCAGAGGAAAGGCATGGGCTCTGCAGTCAGGCTACCTGAATGTGATTACTGGCTCTACCACTTATTAGTGGTGAGTCCTTGATAAATTGTTTCACTCTTGGGCTTTTGGTTTCCCCATCTGCAAATTGGAGAGAATAAGTGCATCCATCATATAAGGTTGAGAATTAAAAGAGAGGTGTATATGCATATTTACAGGAGCTCCTTATTCAATAAATGCCAGTTATTAGATTTAATTGTGGTTACAAAAGCTATTTTGTAGGACATTGTATGTTAATCATTTGATGACTCTGATATTAGATCCTCTAAAATTTTTTGTAAGAATTGCATATAAAGAGAATAGAGTATCCATCAAAAATCACAACTTTGTCACATTGAAAAGCTCTATAATCTAATCCAGTTCCTATTTTGCCTTTGCAGAAAGTAATTTCAAATCCAAATGTGAAGACAGTTTATATTTGATTGACCATGATTAACATGTTTGTGTTACCTTCTTTTTGCCAGGATTTTGATATCCATTGTGGAACACTCAAATTCCTTTTGGGAAGAATCTACTGGACTTCCAGTAGCCTAGGAAGATGGAACCTACCATTCCCATTTGTATCTCCATATCTAAGCATTGTGCACAAAGTAGCTGTCCATAAATATTAAATGATTTGTATTTTAAGAAAATTTAAGATAGCCCAAAGATAGAGCCTAGAATATGAGGTGCAATGAAAGTAATCT
Organism: Homo sapiens; assembly: GCF_000001405.40. Lineage (NCBI taxonomy): Eukaryota > Metazoa > Chordata > Mammalia > Primates > Hominidae > Homo > Homo sapiens. The sequence continues at coordinate 106,150,624 of NC_000009.12, read as the reverse complement.
GTGCCCTCCTCAAAATGATGTACCTTTGTGTTAACTACAATTAAAAGCACTTATCTTGGTGTATGAGTGTCTGTTTAATCTGCTGTAATAAGTTACTTAAGAGACTTCTACTTTTTCATCTTTCTTTTTCTACATCTAGCATGGTGGTTAGCACATTTGTGATATGCATAATCAATAGATGTATATATAAATGAATATGAGTAATAGAAGGTCAGAAAAATCCCCAGAATAAAATAAAATTTATATTTTACATCAAGCACATCATAATCATAATGACTCAATGGCTGCAGTAGACTTTAGGCCACTCTTGGTTAACCTAGGAGAAAGATAAAAGGAGGAGGACAGGGAAAAGGGAGCAGGAAGTCTTCTCCAATCACATTTATTTAGTCAACAAATATTTCTCAAGCACCTGTAGTATGCCAAGCAATTTTCTAAACACCAGGTTACGAGAGTAAATGAAAGAATCCAAAGATCTGCTTATACAGAACTTGTAATTCAGTGGAGGAGCCAAAATAAACAAGGAAACAACAGGATAAATAAACTTAGGCAATAAATTCTGTAAAGAAAATACAACTGTCACATCCCTTGTAAGTTGGATTCCTAGGTATTTTATTCTCTTTGAAGCAATTATGAATGGGAATTCACTCATGATTTGGCTCTCTGTTTGTCTGTTATTGGTGTATAAGTATGCCTATGATTTTTGCACATTGATTTTGTATCCTGAGACTTTGCTGAAGTTGCTTATCAGCTTAAGGAGATTTTGGGCTGAGACGATAGGGTTTTCTAGATATACAATCATGTCATCTGCAAACAGGGACAATTTGACTTCCTCTTTCCCTAACTGAATACCCTTTATTTCTTTCTCTTGCCTGATTGCCCTGGCCAGAACTTCCAACACTATGTTGAATAGGAGTGGTGAGAGAGGGCGTCCCTGTCTTGTGCCAGTTTTCAAAAGGAATGTTCCAGTTTTTGCTTATTCAGTATGATATTGGCTGTGGGTTTGTCATAAATAGCTCTTATTATTTTGAGATACGTCCCATCAATACCTAATTTATTGAGAGTTTTTAGCATGAAGGGCTGTTGAATTTTGTCAAAGGCCTTTTCTGCATCTATTGAGATAATCATGTGGTTTTTGTCTTTGGTTCTGTTTATATGCTGGATTACGTTTATTGATTTGCATAGTTTGAACCAGCCTTGCATCCCAGGGATGAAGCCCACTTGATCATGGTGGATAAGCTTTTTGATGTGCTGCTGGATTTGGTTTGCCAGTATTTTACTGAGGATTTTTGCATCGAAGTTCATCAGGGATATTTGTCCAAAATTGTCTTTTTTGGTTGTGTTTCTGCCAGGCTTTGGTATCAGGATGATGCTGGCCTCCGAAAATGAGTTAGGGAGGATTCCCTCTTTTTCTATTTATTGGAATAGTTTCAGACGGCCATACTGCCCAAGGTAATTTATAGATTCAATGCCATCAAGCTACCAATGACTTTCTTCACAGAATTGGAAAAAACCACTTTAAAGTTCATATGGAACCAAAAAAGAGGCCACATTGCCAAGGCAATCCTAAGCCAAAAGAATAAAGCTGGAGGCATCACGCTACCTGACTTCAAACTATACTACAAGGCTACAGTAACCAAAACAGCATGGTACTGGTACCAAAACAGATATATAGATCAATGGAACAGAACAGAGCCCTCAGAAATAATACCACACATCTACAACTATCTGATCTTTGACAAACCTGACAAAAACAAGCAATGGGGAAAGGAGTCCCTATTTAACAAATGGTGCTGGGAAAACTGGCTAGCCATATGTAGAAAGCTGAAACTGGATCCCTTCCTTACACCTTATACAAAAATTAATTCAAGATGGATTAAAGACTTAAATGTTAGACCTAAAACCATAAAAACCCTAGAAGAAAACCTAGGCATTACCATTCAGGACATAGGCATGGGCAAGGACTTCATGTCTAAAACACCAAAAGCGATGGCAACAAAAGCCAAAATTGACAAATGTGATCTAATTAAGCTAAAGAACTTCTGCACAGCAAAAGAAACTACCATCAGAGTGAACAGTCAACCTACAGAATGGGAGAAAATGTTTACAATCTACTCATCTGACAAAAGGCTAATATCCAGAATCTACAAAGAACTCAAACAAATTTACAAGAAAAAAACAAACAACCCCATCAACAAGTGGGCGAAGGATATGAACAGACACTTCTCAAAAGAAGACATTTATGCAGCCAAAAGACACATGAAAAAATGCTCATCATCACTGGCCATCAGAGAAATGCAAATCAAAACCACAATGAGATACCATCTCACACCAGTTAGAATGGCAATCATTAAAAAGTCAGGAAACAACAAGTGTTGGACAGGATGTGGAGAAATAGGAACACTTTTACACTGTTGACGGGACTGTAAACTCGTTCAACCATTGTGGAAGTTTGTGTGGCGATTCCTCAGGGATCTAGAACTAGAAATACCATTTGACCCAGCCATCCCATTACTGGGTATATACCCAAAGGATTATAAATCATGCTGCTGTAAAGATGCATGCACACATATGTTTATTGCAGCACTATTCACAATAGCAAAGAACCAACACAAATGTCCATCAATGATAGACTAGATTAAGAAAATGTGGCACATATACACACCATGGAATACTATGCAGCCATAAAAAATGATGAGTTCATGTCCTTTGTAGGGACATGGATGAAGCTGGAAACCATCGTTCTCAGCAAACTATCACAAGGACAAAAAACCAAACACCGCATGTTCTCTCTCATAGGTGGGAATTGAACAATAAGAACACGTGGACACAGGGCAGGGAACATCACACACTGGGGCCTGTTGTGGGGTGGGGGGAAGGGGGAGGGATAGCATTAGGAGTATACATAAAGTAAATGACGAGTTAATGGGTGCAGCACACCAACACGGCACATGTATACATATGTAACAAACCTGAATGCTCTGCACATGTACCCTAGAACTTAAAGTATAAAAAAATCAAAAACAAAACAAAACAAAAAAACAAAATATATATATATATATACATATGAAAAGAAAACCGGATAACATAATAAAGAATGGGTATACAAAGATAGGAAACTTTAGATAGAGCATCTACAAAGTCTTCCTCTGGTTTTTATTTAAGCCTTCCTTTATTATGTTTACTTCATTGGGTTATAATTATCTGTTCCTTTATTCATCTCCCGAACTCTCCCAACTGAAGTGTGACATTTCTTAGTTTCAAGGATAAAATACAGTGTCTGGTGCAAATTAGGCCATCAATAATTTTTCCCTGGATTACATTTTTTAGGGACACACATGGAAAAAAACTTTTTTTTTTCCCTGGGAAAGAAATGGGGTTGAAACCAGGAAAAGCTTCAGAAAGTGGGTAAGGAAATGCATAGAAGCAGAAAATTACATGCCACATTTGGGGGTAGCATGACAGGAAGTAACCAGAAAGTTAAAGTAAAGGCTGGTTGTGGCCAGGTAATGAAAAACCACCAATGTCCTGCCAAGAAGCTTGGACTTTCTCCCTTATGCAATGTGGGAGCCATCAGAGATTTTACAACAAAGGAGGCAAAAACAAGGTCTGGAAGGCAGAAAAATCACTCTAGTAGCTGGTAAAGAAATGGAAGAAAGAGGAAAGGCATCAGGAAGGGGTATCAAGTCAAAAGCAGCTACAATGGTATGATTGAGAAAAGAGGAAAGAGGCTGAGCTGGTTATGACAGCATAGACAGAGAGACACAATGTGGATTCAAGAGACATTAATGAGAAAAAGTCAGTAGGACTTGGGGAGAGACTGATATATATAATGTCTTAAGAAAATAGATACCTTGAGCAGTTTTGAATCAGTCAACAAACATGGAATAATTTTCCTCTCTGCCTATATGAAAGTCTGAACCAAGAGGCATCTAAAGCCCTTTTTGGGCCAGCAACCAGCATGGACTTTTACTCTCAGCTGGTCAGTTTGACATGAAGTCTTTGTATCTGAGGATGTCAGCCATTGAACTATGCAGGCTAACTCTCATCTTCACAAAGAGAGTCTGTCTGCACAGCAGTGGCTTGCAACTTAATATTTTGCATAAAAATTCATGAGGAGCAGTATCTATTTCAGCTATGTTATAAAGTAGTAAAAGGAAGAGAGAGGGAGGAAAAGAAAAAGTTCAGCCCTGCACTCAGATAAGGTTCATTCTGAGTGATGATTGCGAGCTATCCTTGGAAATTACAGATGCTACCTGGTTCACTATTATTTTGCAGCATCTCCAGTAATCTTCCGTGATCATTTATAACAGCATGTCTGATGACTTTCAAAATATAACGGGAAAGGGTACTTCTGTGAAGCATGTCTACTCAAAGAAAAAATCAATCTTGGCTGCTGAGGGAGTGAACTTTGTACCACCACGATTAGACAGTTCGAGATTTCAACATATAAAAATAGGAATGGCAGGGGTCCAGTCCTCCAACGTATATATGTGTATAATATGTGTTCCAGTTGCTTGAACAGTTTGGGATTTCTCCTTTTATCCAAACAAAATACTACATGTGTCAGGAATCCAAATTGGCACACTCTAGTAATAACTCCATTATAATAACTACTAATGTTTATATCATGTCTTTACAGTTTGCTAAGTACCTGTCACACACCTGAGCTGCTAAACATCAAAAATACCTCACATTTTCCAACCTTCTTTTCTTCTTTGACAATCATTCCTATTACCTGGAATGTTCTCTGACATCTGTACTCCCACCTTTTAAGGGCAAGCACCAAACTTCCTTCCGTGTATGATAGTCTTTGGTTAGTTTAACTCTTACAAGAGAATAGTGTTTTATAATGAGATCAAGATCTCTGACAGGCAGTGTAGTGTTAGCAATATTTAGGATCAGAAGACTTGGGTTCAAGCATTAGTTTCACAATGTATTAGCTTTATGACCTGGGCGTGTCTTTTGACCTCAAAACAAGAGCCAAAATGTTATTTATATGATTTTTATGTAAATCAAAATAGATTATATAAACCTATTTAGTAATACTGATTATATAAATGTTAACTATTAGTATTTTGTTATATTTACTTCACAGGACTATTATGAGGACTAAATAATTTATGTAAAGCATTTTGCCCAGTGCCTGGTATATAGAAAATGCTTGATGAACATTTATTATTAGTAAAACTTACTTGTTGATTCAACAGATAGTAATTACAAGTATCCTATGTGTAAGGCACTGCAGTTGATATAGCACCTTATTGATCTTCTGAATAATTTATTATTAGAATATAAAAACATTGTTGTCATGAACAAGCAATTTAACATAATAATTAGTAGCACTAGCTCTGGAATCAGGCCACCTAAGACCTAAGTCTAATTCTAATTCTTTACGCCTGTGAACCTTGGGCACATTGCTTAACCTGCCTGTGCCTCATTTTTTTAATCTATAAATGAAAGAAAACAATAAATCCTTAAATACAGGGTTGTCATAAAGATTAAGCAAATTAGTTCATGGAAAGAGGCTAAAAAATGTTTAAAACATAGCTCAATAAATGTTATGTATTATAATATTTTAGTGTAACTACCTCGTAGATAAAATGTTTTCTTATCAATCAAAAAAAGTTGTAGTAAAGAACGAGCTCAATTATTTTTTGCATCCATGTCACTGCTCCTAATTCACCTGTTGTCTCCATTTTCATCGTCTCCCAATGGACCCTCCATACTCTAGCCAGACTCAACTTTCTGAGACCTCAAGCTGATCATTTTAAACCTTGCAAAAGATCCTTCACATGGTTAACGGCATTTTCCATTATCTAGTTCTACCTGCTTCTGTCTCCTCTACAACTTATCTTAGCCAATTCTCCAGATTGTCCTGGATACAGAGCCATGGAGATGTGTTAGAAGAGATGAGCCCATCCCCTCCAGTAACATCCAGAAGCCACACACTCCCATTTTTAGTATGAATAATGAATAGCTTATCATTTTACGCCAAGGTACTATGTGAACACAACTTTCACGCATGTTTCTTAGCTCTTTTTTACAACCAGAATGCTGCCCCCAAGCTCTCCTATGTAGAAATTCTGAAGTCATCATGCTTAATTGCCTGCCCACTCAAAACAAGCCATTCCCTTTCAGATCTCCCTATCATATGTTCAAAAGATTTTCTTTCCCTGGAATTCCACATCCACTCTACCCCCCGCCCCCACCACTAAAGCCCACTGATCATTTCTAGATTAAACTCAATTGTCATCTCCTCTAAGAAGGCTCTTAGGACTCTGGCAGATGCCATTTCGATTTTGATGAAGTTAGGGACATAGACTTGGACAAAAGGGTGAAGGACCTTGAGAATTCAAATAAAAAATTATCATCCTTTTCCAAAGAGTCCTATTGCACTGAACGTTTCTGAGCACATAAACCATATATGCACAGCAAGATTTTAGAATATAAATCTAGCAACAGTGTAAAGATAGATATGAAAGGGAGGGGGATAAGCTTAGAGGAAATATTGTATTGTGACAAAATACTAGAGAACTGGTAATAGAAGTGGAAAGAACGAAGACATTAAAAAAGGAAGAATGTAAATGATGCTAAAAATGTCTAGATAACCGTGGGGAAAGCAAAGGTGGAAACAAAGATTGACTCCAAGACTATAGGAAAGAATGTGAATTACACTGTTTTTTCCCCTAAGGTGATGGGAAGACAGCTAATTGGTGTCTGTGCATAATTGGGGTCATGATAGAGGAAGCAGGAGGATAGATGGGCCAGTGAGTACCAGTTGAGAGAATAGGAGTGGCTGAGATTTATAAGGAAGTAAGGTAGAAAGAGTTCAAGAATAGATGTTAAGGATAAAGCCTGAAACACAACTCCATTCAGAAAATTTAGTTATTCAAGTCAATAAATGTCTATTGAGCACCAACTGTGTGCCAGGTACTGTTCAGGGTCCTGGAGACCTAGCAGTGAGCAAAGCTCCACTCCTCCTACAGCTTACAATAAAGCAGACTCTGAAGTAGTAGCCACAGAGGTAGAGAGAAAACTGGGATACTTTAATAATCAGAAATTCAATGAAAAGTTTCAAAAGGGAATTGGTGGTCAATCACATGGACTTACAGTCTATCTTTATCAGAAAATCAGAAAAATAAAACTATGCATGTTCAAAAAACATAACAGTGCAAACAATAGTCATCACTGGAGCCCATATTTGAAATAGAACTGTCCATCAGAAAAGATGAAAGTGATTGAAAATTAAAAAGCAGGTCTCTGAAACCTCTTCAGGATGGATAATCATAGGAACATCAAGACAGTGTTTTTGGCCATTTAAATAATGTCCTGAAAGTGGGATAGGATATTAACCAGAAGGGAAGAGAAGAGAGAGGCTGAGGAAATTCAAAATGTGGCTTATCTCAAGCAGTTTTTAAAAGGAATGTGTATATTTTAACAGGAATCTAATCCATATGTTCCAGATTCTTTTACATTCTACAAAATGTCGGCACATAAGAGCTCTTTGATGTCCAGAGATCTTTCCAATTCTTTTTAAGAGACTTGCTAAGCCATATCACTTCCAAATTGGAAGTTATGTTTTATCTAGAATAAACAAGCTCACATGCCAGCAAGCCAGAGTTTGGGTCAAAGAAGAAATGACACGACCCCCAGTAAACATGTAGAACATAAAAATGATTTCCTTCCTTGACTTACGTGGTCCACATGTGAGGGGACATGAATCCATTAAGCACAAAAACATAAAGCAAGTGCATAGTCTTTCAGTCCAGCTGCCATAGGTGGGGACAGGAAGTGGGGAGACTAGTCACAGCAAACACAGTTGATAGGAGAATACATGAAGTAATCATAGAGTAAATGATTTTTAAGAAATGCAAGAAAAATATTATCTTAGCTAACATTCAGCCCAGAAATTGTTTTATCCATGGAAAGTCAGGGAGAGCTATAAAGACTCTCTTATCACCATAGTGCAGAAAGAAGACATTTTGTAATAAGAATTTTACAAAGCAAGTTTTCCTGTAAGAATATTCCTCCTCTAGCATTTTCACGGATTTATGCGATAGCAATTAAGAACAGAAATCACTGGAGAAATAGAAACACAAGAAGAAATCTTTACAATATAGATTGAACTTAAGCAATTTCATTCATAAGGATTAAAAACTGTGAAATCAGTGTAGAGAATCTGCCGAGCTGCTTCTGTTTCTTTGTTGCCATCAGAGCAGAAACAAATGGATGAAGTTACAAGATTGGCTCAGCCATCTACAGCATGCATGTGGCAAGAGACACTGGTGATGTATTAGTTTGCTTTCTAATTTATGTTATTTTCTTCAGAACAATTTCCTCATTCTATAGGACACTAAGATGTTACTAAGCTCTTTTACCCATAGTTTCTGGGATTTTATGTTTCATAAAGAAGAAATGTTTGTTAGCCTTAATGTACTACTACCATCTATAGAGGATGGGCTCTGAAAAATGGAGGAGCCATTGCTTGCCAAAACTGGTACAAAAATATGAAAGAGCTAAGACAGAGCCAAACTGCTTAGCATAAGAGGAGAATTTGAGGGTGAGAGAAAATCTGGGAAAGGGAAGAAAGAAACCAGTAAGATTGGAGAAAGGGTGGGCTGGAAGGAACCTCTTTGATAATAAATGCAGAAAGACAAGCAAATAGGCATATCTTCCAGACTTTACCTGAGTTGTCTGCTGTGCAGAATTCACTGTGACCCTGTGATTCTATTTAGAGTCTTACAAAGGAGAAGAATTTTGTGTCAAAATGGGCAGGCACCCAACAAAGAGTCAGACTATGTAGATGCACAGGGGTGGAGTTAGCTGGCTTAAATTTGAAAAGGACAACTTCTTTCCCTACCACATGTTCTTGACTCAGTCCACAACGCTGATAGTTGAAAAGAGGCAGGGGAATGCCAAGAGTACACATCACAACCCACAGGCACTTGTCCCTCTGAAAAAAAAAGCTACAACTCATGTCAATGGCACTGAAATGCATGCCCGTGATCTAATCCAGAATATCATCTGTGAGTTTCAGTGCCTGACATAGTTTCTGGCACATCGTAACGACTCAATAAATGTTGAAAGAGTAAATGAGCCACAGAAGTAATCAGCCCGATGTGAACTGACAAGGAACAATGGGGTCCACAAAGAGTTAGATGTGTAGATGCCATGGAACAGGATGGGGACAATAAGAAAGCATCCATTGCCTTGCTTCTCAAAGTGCAGCCAATGAGGAGCATCGGCATCACCCGGGAGCCTGTCAGAAATGGAGCACCTCAGGCTTCACTCCAGACCCCTGAATCTGCATTTATATCTTGATGAGGTTCCCAAGTGATTGGTAGGCCCATGAAAAGTTTGAGAAACACTTATATAGACCCTAAATATGACAGGCAACACTAACGCCATGGCTAAGAGTGTCATCACCGTCAAAGTGAGGAGGGATTGGTATTTATCCCAAGATCATTCTGTGGGGATGCCTGTACACTATTTACCTGTAACTCTGAAAGGTAAATTCTGTTTGCCATAACAAGTCTTTTGTCTTCATAAATTCCTAAGTAGAGAAAAACTTATTTGGATACCATTATAAGACAGATGATATAGATATAAATATATAGACATAGATAGATATGTTATAAGTTACTTCCCGTTCCTTTGGACTCAATATATATTTGCAGTGGTCAAATTTGCAGCATCCTAAGAAAGAATACATATGCCTACTTCTGACATGCCAGATATTTTGCATACATTATCTCTTAACAGTGATAACGGTAACAAGAAGAGCTAAAAGGTGTTGATTGCTTACAGGCACAGCACTTAATTCTTATAGATTTAGTTTGTACATCTGATCCTCCAAGGGACCTAGAGCATGGATTCTCTCCTTACCCTCATTTAATCCTTCAACACTGTAACAGGGGTATTTTTACGTCCACATTATAGTTACAGACATAGAAGGAAACAGAGCAACGAAAGCATTAGCAGTTTTAGCATTCAAATCCAGACTTCCACATTTCCAATACCTACAGTTTTTCCATTGTATCACATAGCCGAACAGTAACCAATGTGGATGCAAAGGTACATCTCTCTTTTTGAGTAACGGTATTTCAGTAGGGGTCCATTGCTGATGGCTGAGCGACACCCAAAGCAGCAGCCCCAAATACACTGAAATCAGATTCACTAGAGTTTTAAGTTGTTTTCCATGTCAGTGTACAAGGTGATGAGAACATAAGCCACATTGAAATGATTTTGTCTCAAGATGACAGAAGCAGAAAGTGGCCTATACACATTCTTCCCAAGTGTGGGCTACAGTTCACCATCATTTGCACATGGGATGACCTCACTGTTTCTGGGTGCTCTTAACACAACTTGGAAACTCATTCCTTACTCTCCCCACTCCCCCGAAGAGGAGAGTGCTCCCTCAGTGCTCCCTCTGTCTAAGGCCAAGGATTATCATTTCTAAGAATGAATCTTCTTTTAGTTATTTTTTGTCCCAGGCAAGTTGCTCAAGTACTGGCAGTGCAGCAGAGCAGGAGAAGCTTCTCATGGAATCCTGGAGGATCAGGTGGGGAATGCCTTGCAAGAGGCTACATGAGATGCCAGAGATGTGCAGGGGCCTGGAACCTCATGCTGGGTTCCTTTACTGCTCCCATTTTCATGTTTCTCTGTCTATGAAAGTGAGTCTATTTTACCTTAGCTGAAATCAGAGCTAGATACATCAATCAAGGTAGAGCCTAGGAAGTACTAAATAAGGAAATTATTTTCATCCAAACCTCATTGCTATATATTTTCTGTTTCAGAAGCATTGATTCCTCAAGGGACCCACATCACACCAAAGAAGAGTCATCATGCGAACTACAACTCGGGCAATTCTGCAAGCTGCACCAAATCTCCCTCTTGCACGATCACTAGTTTCAATAAAAGTTTTATTAAAGAAAAATGGGTTTGTATTGGTTTCCCAGAGCTGTCTAACAAAATACCACTAACTAGGGGGCTTAAAATAATATAAATTTATTGTCTCACAGTTCTGGAGACTAGAAGTCCAAAATCAAGGCATCAGCAGGGTGGGCCATGCTCCCTCTGAATCTTTCCTTGCTTCTTCCTAGCTTCTGGTGATTTTCTGGCAATCCTTGGTGCTCCTTGGCTGTGGCTGCATAACTCCAATGTCTGCTTTCTTTGTCTCATAGTGTTCTCTTTGGGCATCTCTGTCTACATATTGCTGTCTTAGAAAGTCACCAGTCATATATGATTAGGGGCCGATCCTACTCCAGTATGATGTCATCTTAACTAATTTCATCTAGGGAAAAAAAATCCCTATTTCCAAATAAGGTGACATTCTAAGATACTGAAGGGTTAGGACTTTGACATCTTTTTTTTTGAGGAGGGGGGGTGTCATGGGAGACACAATTCAACCTATGACAGGGTGAATCCCAATTACTATAACACAGAACAATTATACTATTCCAAACTCCCTGGCACCCTCAAAAGCACGTTTCCTCATATCAGTTGTAGTTCTCAGACTAGTTTCAGTTCACGAAGACTCACTAGTTACTTTCCAGCCCAAGGTTGTAAGGCAGGATGACGCGAGGAGTAGAAAAAGTTCAGATTTTAGAGTCAGAATGTTCTGAATTCTAATGCCAGATCCAACATTTTACATAAGAGATCTGGGACATGTCAATTCACTTCTCTGAACCTCAGTTTCCTCAACCTCAAATGTGGATAGTAATTAACTGTAGCTGACTTCGTAAGTGTCCCACCCATGTTCCCTTGAGTCCTCCACCTGCCGATACTGGCACATTTTTGCCTAAGAATATATCTGCTGGCGCTTACTCTGCTGATCCAAGGTAAGCCACAGTTACCGGAGAATTACCGTTATCTCAGAGTGCCGCCAAGTGAGTAGCTGGACCTGGTGTATAAAATGCCCCAGTTCCCTCACACCTTCACTAGGATAACCCTGAAGTGCTTGTTCTACAATAGCTCCTGGAGGTGCTCAGCAGGATTAACCCCAGTTGCCCACAGCGTTAATGTTCTTGATAGTACACCCTGAATTTGCTGTTTCCCTTTCCTGCTCACTACTTCTCCATTCATATCTCCTGGGATCATCGTTCAAATAAATTGCAGTGGACCCTTGAATAATGCAAGGGCTAGGGGCAGTAGGAAATATATGTATCATTTCTGATCCCCCAAAAACTTAACTACCAATAGTCTATTGTTCACTGGAAGCCTTACTGATAATGTAAACAGTAAATTAACACATATTTTGTACATGATATGTATTATGTACTGCATTCTTATAAAAATGTAAGCTAGAGAAAGGAAAATGTTATTAAGAAAACCATAAGGAAGAGAAAGTCTATTTACTAGTCATCAAGACAAAATGATTCATCTTAAAGGTCTTCATCCTCATTGTCTTCACATTGAGAAAGCAGAGGAGAAGGAAGAGGGAGGTTTTTGATGTCTGAGAAGTGGCAGAGGCAGAAGGAGGAGGTGGAAGGTGAGGCAGGAAAAGAGTTACTCCCGGTGTAACTTTTATTAAAAAAAATCCATAAGTGGACTGGTATAGTTCAAACCCGTGTTGTTAAAAGTGCAACTGTACTTGAATTTGAATCGTTCTCTCAGGGCCTGCCTGTAGGAAAACTCGACTAAGACAATGAAATTTACTTTGCAGGATTATTTTGAGGATTATAAATTATGTTGATTTGGAACATGGTATGTAGTAGGCACCCAATAAGTGGTTTCTATTAAAACAAACAAAAATGATTCTATTTTAGGAGGGATTATATTGTTGAAGCACAGTGATACAACAAGCTATTGCCTGTTACTAGAAATAGACTCTCAGTTCATACAGTAATGTAATTAAACTCCTTTTCAATAAGAGTCCATATGAACTTTTCTTCCAAAAAAAAATAAGAAATGGAAAAGAGAGGGTGGCATTATTTTCTTTTTCCTTGTTCAAATTCTGACTTAATCACTTACTAGTAGTATGACCTTGGACAAGTTTCTGTAGCTAATATTAACTACCATGTAAAGTTTTAAGTAGTGGAGCTGTGAATTCTTGGGAAAGCTACATACTATCTCTGAGCATCAATTTCTTCATCTGACTTGTTCAAGGTCACACAGTTATTAAGTGATGGAGCCAGCAGTTGAACCCAGGCAGTCTGAAGCTAAAGCCTACTACACATTTAACCACTACATTATACTGCTTCCCTCACATGAAGCATTTAATCACCCAGCTGGGACCTGCATTTAAATCATTCAAACATGAAATTTTTAAGGAATAAGATGCCTTTGCATTGAAGGTAATGTACTTTCTGAGGTTTCTATAGCAACAAAAATCTAAAATCACTTCTGGTGGTATTACTCACAAAAGAAGAGAGACATTCCTGCTGACCCTTTATCAAAGAATTTGTTTTGCCAGGTCAGGTCCAGCCACACAGAAGAGAACTGGGCAATGGATTCTCAAGGATGTGATTGCTCCACTTGATGGTGGGAGGTCCACATGAATACAATCAACAAATATTTTTGCTTATTGTGTGCCAGAGCAAAAAAATTGAAATGCAGTTATTACTTTTTTCAAGGAACTCAATTTCTAGTAGAAAAAAACATCTGTATCACAAATGCTGAGACACCACGTGATATGGTTGGTGATACAGGAGTGCCAGTCACATTATATGCAATGGGAACGAGGGAAGGCAAAAACACAATAGGCTGGAGAATTTTTGAAAAGTCTCAAAGAGGTAAAAATCAAGTCAATATTCTCCACCTAGAGGGCAAACCAATCGCTAATAAGACTATTGGGTTTGCTTCCTTCCCTATCTCACATTCCCCATTTCCTCAGTTGAGCTTCCTGGGATGGCCTCCTCAACAAACCACCACACTCAAGGGCTTGTTTTGGAGTCTGATTTCAGGGAAACCCAAACTAAGACAACATCAATCTTGTTGTTTCCCTCAGTTCCCTGGGGACATAATTTACCATTAACTCAAGTTGATGGACCCTTCAGGATTCATTAAAACAAGTTTACCTGCATTATAGGGTGATTCAGGGTGAAAATCACCAGCAGAGTAAGGGAGTACCCAATAATGGCCCCTGATCAATTCTAGTGGTCTTCCCTCCTTCTTCTAGGTGCCAAGCTTGACTTTGTTTTGAATTCACAGTGACCAAGTGGAAACATCTGCAAAAGCAAAACTCAAACCCATCTCCTACACTTCTTAGCATCCCTCTGTGAGAATGCATGGGAGGAGGCACCCATTTGCCTTCACTGTGAGAGTTACATGTCACCGTGGTCCCTCTGCTCTCATCTCTGGATGCTATGAGGGACAGCCTTTAACTGTATTTGCAATGGGAATGTTGCTAAAAGCATGGCCCCCCAAACCCTCCATAGGTTTCTACATGAGAAATGTCTCTCAAAATATGTAGGAAAACTTTTGCTTCCTGCAAGTAAGTGAAATACTTTTCTATTTCAGGCATCAGATTCATGATGCTGATTATATCTTCTTTTCCACTCTTACCACCACAAGCTCGGTGTCAAATATGAGGTTCACCTACAGTCAAAATCCTTTGACTCTCACAGTAACTCAGCTTATGTTCCATCACTAAACTTCATGTATTACTTATTTTTCTGGTTCTTATTATGATTAATTTTTATCATATAATGTTTTATTGCAAGTGATTTTACAGTCAACAGCCTCAAATCTTTTTTATGGAATCTTGTCAAAAAACATTACGAGTGTCTGTAAGTGCCAACACTATCTTCAGCGGGCGGGATGGGACACTGAACAAGAGAGGCATGATCCCTAGCACCACGTGGCATACTTTCAGAAGGAATGAGATGGAATATAAATAAATGGATTTATTATGTGGTACATTCTTTGTAGGACAAAATGTGTTCATCCAAAAGAAACATTTTCTTCTAACAGAGAAAAACCAAAAGACTTACTATATTTTTATTTTTGTCTTTATTGGGACACTTGGACACTGTTTAATGCCCAATTCCAGTGATTTATCTCAGGATTTTAATTCAATAACTTCATTTTCTCCAAATTTTTTTTTCCCCAAATTGTATCCCATTTTATGTGGCCTAACTTGTAATCTATCATAAACTATTTTCTGCAAGAATCAGAATACATATCTTCATAAACTAGTGCTTTAACTGAAGGCCTAAAATTTCAGCCCCTATGTTACATGATGTTTTCCTTATAGAACAAATCAACTCCTTTTAGTAACAAGATCTGATAACCTGCAAGCCAAAGCCTAGGTTATCAATTGATTAATGCTGACTTGAGGTAAGAGGTAATAAAAAACAGAATAAGATGTCAGAACCTCTTTCCTTCCCTACACCTGCAAAGTAAGTATCCCTTCAAGTAGACAATAAATTCAAATCAGGAACTCATATCTTTAGTAGATTCAGATGGTTAGGGCAAGAATAACTAGAAAGGCAAAGTGCTCAAAAACATGCCTTCAAAGGAACTCATGAAACGACTGGGAAATTTAACTTGAAGAACAGAACTCTTAGGAGAGAAACCAGGCTTTAAACATTTGAATAGGCAATAGATTTGTCATACATGGGTCAGTAGACCAAAGGAGAAACAAGGAGTAGAAGCTTTATCTATGAATGAGGAAGAATTCTTTAATTGATGAGGACATGAAACTCCACCAGCCAATGAAGGGCTGGCTCCCCATGACTCCAAAACTGGCTCCTATGGTGTCTCTTTGTTCCTTACAAACAAGATCCTGAAGACCGGTCTGTTGTATTTTCTCCTTTAAAGATGCTTTTGAAGGTCATGAATTTCCCATCATTGAAAGCACTCAAGCAACAGTTGGGCAAGCACTTAGTAGGGATGTTGCTGACAAAATCTGAGTTTTTCCCAGATGTCTCTTAAAACTCTGGGATCTGAAAATATGAGTGTCAAGAGGAGGAAAGCGACTTCCTCCCAGGAGTCTCAGACTTTGATTAGAGTAGGATGTGTTGCCTCTCCTCTCACACTCTGCAGAAGCCTTCCCAATTTTTTTTTAAGTACATTCCTCTCGCCCTCCCATTTCAACACATTTCTCACACGAGGTGGAACAGATGCTGGGGTAACGCCGGCTAAAAATAAAAGCAACAGGAGGGGAAAAAAAAAAAACTATTTTACAATAAATATCTCAGCAAAATTTTATATCCTGAATGGATTCAGCAGCAAAAGAGCAGCTGCCACCTCTTTTGTGGTTCTTCCTTCTCTCACTTTTATAACTTAATTAATATGCCAATCAGATTTTTGTAATCAGGAGCAGGGGACATTAACCTCGTAAAGCATGTAAAGTGTATCTTATCTGAATAAAGAAGGAAGTATTGTGTGAATTGGTCTCTTTTGCTCCTTTTTATTTCTACTTGTATTGAGAATCTAGCTTGTCAGAGAGGACCAGAAATCTTTTCTATCTGTCAGCGCTCCAGGCCCTTGAAGGAACACACTGGTATTTTCACCCTCACTCCTCCAATGGAGACATGATAGCAGCATCACAATGACCTCTACTGTGCTAGGGGGCAATGGCACCCACTGTGGCCGTCCCAGAGGACCCCAGCCTTTAAATGAGCCTTGATCCTCTCCTTTCTCCAGCCATTCAAACCAGAAAATGATACACTGGAAAAGTTGGCCACATGAATTTCTGGACATTAATGAGCTAGGCAATCATGATAGGACCTTTGGGCACACACACAAAACAAACAGTAATAAAGCACTATTAGGTACAAGACACTGAAAAATATAAAGATAATAAGGTATGGTAGCTACTCTCTAGAAACATATAATCTAGAGGCGAAGATATGTTATGCACATAACCAGGTAAGAAGAAAAATGAAAAGTGATAAAGGCTACAGAAGTACTACAGATAAAATGCATAGGAGCTCAAAGCAGGGAAATAATGTTTCCATATTGTGGGTAACATACATTTAAAGAGGAGAAGTATGTTTTGGAAGAAGATACCACTGGGTCAGGTCTTGGAAAAGATTTGGGTAGGTAAAGATAGGAGAAAAGTGGTGGTAAATAGAAAAAGAAGGCACAAATGAAGGGGAAATCACAAAGACAAGGGTGGGGAAGTACAGAGTATGTGCTCTGGTGGTTAATCAAGTAAACCAATTTAACTAAAACACAAGGTAGAGGGGAGAAAAGAGAGGAAAGGAGGCTTTGCAACAGAGCTTTCAGCAATGACTTTCTAAGATTCCATAATGAATGTTAAACCCCATCGTTATCACTCTACCCTGTTGGCTTATCAATGCTGCTCAATCCTGAATATCTTCTTAACCCTGCCCACCCTCCCCGCCCCTCCAAAAAAAGAGTGGTCCTAAAGTCATCTCTGGTATATAGATCCAGAAACATTCTGCCCCATTTAAGCCTCTATTACATAGAATTTGTAGTTTCCTTTGAAATAGAAGATACTGAAATAAATACAGTCATGCATTGCTTAATGATGGGGATACATTCTGAGAAGCACATCATTAGGTAATTTCGTTGCCTTACGAATATCACAGAATGTACTTACACAGACATAGATGGTATGGCCTAATGTTCCTAGTCTACAAACCTGTACAGCATGTTACTGTACTGAATACTGTAGCCAATTATAACAATGCTAAGCATTTGTGTATCCAAACATGTCTAAACATAGAAAAGGTACAGTAAAATTATGGTATTATAATCTTTTAGGACCACCATCATATATGCGTTGTTGGCTAAAATGTCCTTATGTGGCATGTGACTGCATAGGTATGAGTGTGTGCATGCCAGCAGTGTGTATCTGAAGTATGTTTCACCAAATGTTAACAATTGTTGGATCCAGATGATGGACAGATGTGTGTTCATTATTCTAGTCCTTCTGCTATTTGTAATTATAAAAAGATTTTTAAATAGTGTTTAAAATATAGAAAAAAATAAGTAAATAAGTAAATCCTGAGTTACTGGCCTAAGGATCACCTGAGTACCTAATTTCTAGCAGTGTCTGGCCATGTTCTTCCAAGACTAAAATGTGTGTACGAACTAACCTCAAGTCCATGCTGTGCCCAGATTGGGGGTTGCTGGGATCCTTGGTCATGTCTCCATGATGCCTGTGGTGCAACTGCAGACTTAATAGGCAACAAAATATAATCGTGTGTGGGAAGTGAAAAGAGCAGAGCAGTTTGCCATTTGTTCGTTTTCACAAGTTGTAGGCGCTTTCAATGGCAAAAATATTCATGGGGTTAAGAATCAGCTTGTTTGGTAAACTGCAATTAGCATGAACTAGGTCTCCTCAGCTTCTGGAAAAGGGATAAATATAGATGTCGATATTTTCTGTGGGAAGACAGAGCCCTGAGCTTCTATTTTAGAATCTCAGGGGGAAAAAAATGCCTTTGTAAGGTGCATACCAGCCAGGAAGGAAGGCCTTGGTTCCAGACCCACTGTGAAGACAGTGGGGAAGTGCTGCTTGTTTTGGTCTGTTTGCTCAGGAGTCCAGGGCCCAGAAATGGGCCCTGTATGATCCCTAAAGAAACTACACTAGAAAGGCTGTAAACAGAGAGGTTAACCATGGATTCTGGAAGCCACAAAGCCCAGCACTGATCCCTGCTCTGCTGCCCATCAGCTGTGTAACTCTAGCTGAACAGAGTCTCATCCATCTATGCCCCAGTTTCTTCATTTACAAAATGACAATGATGATGAATACATGGAAAGCACTTACAGTGGAATCTGGCACAAAGCAGGTAGTATATATGTATTAACTGTTGCTACTCTTTCATGTTTTAAAAAATTAAAAAGAAAAATTAAATTAATTTACTATTAACTAATCTGTAGACCTTACTTGGATTTCACAAGTCTCCTCACTACTGTTACTTTCTCTGGTCCAGGGTCTAATCTCATGTTGCATTAAGTTGTCATGTCTCCTTAGACTCCTCCAGTCTGGGACAGTTCTTCAATCTTTGTCTTTCACAATCCTGGCACTTTTAAAGAGGTCTGGCAGAATGTCCCCCATTTTCAGTTTGTATAATGTTTTTGATGATTACATTGAAGTTATATATTTTAGGCAAGAATATTGCAGAAGTGATGCTGTGCCCGTCTCAAGTGCATCATATCAGGAAGTATATGAATTAAGTGCATCTTATTATTGGTGATGCTCATTTCTCCTACTAGATTAAGGTAGTGTCTGTCAGGTTTCTCTGCTTGGAAACCTGCTATTTTTCCATTAATAAATATCTTATTAATTATTAAGATATTTGTTAAGTATTTCTTACAGACAAATACTTTGAGATTATGCAAATATTCTGTTTCTCATCATGCTCCTGCCAACTACTTTTACCATCTATCAATGATTCTTCCTGACACAATTGTTAGTGTGGTGTTTGCCTAATGATTATCTTCTATTTTCAGCATTCCTAATACACTTAACTCAAATTCTACTTTAAAAAAGGGCAGTCCTTTCTATTTTCTTCAATTATTTATATGTGTGACTCACTAAAATTTATTTTAATCTATATGTCACATTCCATTGCTTTATTTGTTGTTCTTATCGTTGTTGCTTAAAGCATCCAAGATTTCACTGGTGCTAGTCCAAGTTGATTCCTGTGTCCCTTTGATAATTTTGTTATGATCCTATTAGTTGTTAACATTAGAATAAACAGAGTGAAGGGCATATAGGAACTCTCTATGCTATCTTTGCAACTTTTCTATTAGTCTAAAATTATTTTAGAATTTTTTTTAACTTGAAAAAAGGACTCAAAAGGAGCGTTAAGATAGCTCCTGGCAATTTCTTTCTTTAGCTGGGTGCAGGTCACATGGTTGTGTTTCTTTTGCGAAAATCCATCAAGCTATACATTTATGATTTGCATACTTTTCTGTGTGTTTTACTTTAGTAAACCATTTCTAAAGGTAGGTGATAGTGCTTTACAAATATTGTTTGAGAATTTAGCTGTAAAATATACAGTAACAGAAAATAATAGGCAGGATTTCCTATAGAAGGGCCTGCTGGTAAGTTTCAAATCACCCTCAATAACCACTGGGGAAATCCTCAGCCAGGAGTAGCTTAGAGCAAAGTCCTCATCTGAGTTTTATTTAGATCCCTGTGTCTGATGTCACTGTGTTCTGTTTAATAATCTTGGTCACTTGCATTTCCCAAGGTGATCCACGTCGCTTCTGTTCAGTTGGTCACTTTCTTGGACCAGAGCTGAAATGTTAATGGTCAGGTCTCAGACTCTCTATCTGCAATTCCCTGATGTTCCACCTCTGTATTAGGATACACAGACAGTCTGCTTTGTACTATATCATCTTCTGAAAATGTACATTGATTGCTTTAGCTATTGACAATATTTATTGATCATTTCAATTCCTCCTTCATCTGTGTTGCCACCACCCTTTGTACATGTCTCTGTTAAAACATGAGTTATATTGTTCCTATAGATTACACACTCTCCAAAAGAAGGGAATTAGTCTTCCCCATATTTGTGTCTCCAGTACCACATGTGGGGCTCTCTCTGTAGAAACTAACTTCATGAGGGTGGGCAAACAAGGGGGTCGGGGAGAGAGTGTTAACTATCATCTTCTTGATAGTCACAATCTTTTATAACACAATATTGAAAGTGACATACTGTCACTTTTGTCACATTCTATTGATTAGAAGCAAGTCACTAGACTACCCCATACTCAAGAAGGGGGAGGAATACACAAGGGCATGTGTGCCAGGAAACAAGGACACTGGGACAATGTCAGAAGATGCCTATCACAAATGAGATTAAGAGAAGGCAATAAATTGTAGGGAACTTTAGAAATCTTTTCTAGAAACTGTTGATTGCTCTGCTTCCTGATTTGTGTTGGCATTTATGCTCACCTAAATATTACTTACTGTTTACTTCTGATAGAAGTAGATAAGTGTGTTGGTGGTTCAGGATGACTGCATGCCATACTAAATTTCTCAAGAATTATTACTTTTGTGAATTCCCTTCTTGTTATGTAACATCAAATCTCAGCAGCCTGTTTCATTTATCATTAATAGTCATATAAATAAAAATAACATAGGTTTAATTAAAATTCATAATCTACGTGTTTTAGTACATTTCTCTGCTCCTCTGCTCCCTCATTCTTAGCTGTCCTCATTCTTAGCTTAGTAGGGAAAAAAAGGCCATTTTTCCCCTACTCTGCCCTCACCAACACAAATAAAAGTGCAAAAAACATACCAAACCTGATCTAAATATGAGACAGAAATTTCTGTATATATGCATTTATACTTTTAAAGGTTGTCCTTGCCTGAGGACGGAGAAAGAGTGATGAGAAATCAGAGGAGGGACTGAAATTGGAAAGGAAGGAGTGGAGGGAGCTAAGTATCAGGGAGAAGCAGCACCTGTCAACTCGAGGGCCAGGTGGGCCTCAAGATACCTGTAACATTGTCCAAGATATTTGTAAGCTCCCTGAGTAAATGGTAGAGGCCTTGGACACCTTGTACAGGGATAAAGGCTTGAAAGGAAAGCCTTGTTCTCTAAGCAAAGTGGAACCTAACTAAACCAGTTGAGGATTAACTCTTATGAGCTGAGGTAGGAGTGAAAATGTTACCTGTTTTTAAAATTACAATAGCACCAGTAATAGTGACTACCATTTACAAAGCATTTTCTTGCCTGTGTTACCTGGATAGGATTATTTCTTGCTCATGGAGAGTTGGGCCAGTGGCCCTCCTCCATCTCGTAGCTCTGCCATCTGGAACACATTGCATCAAAGTCAGCACAGAAGGAGAAAAGAGAGAGAGAGGAAACATATTGATTCTAACTGGCCTTGACCCAAGGTGACCAACATCAGTTCTGCTCACATTCTATTGTCTTGAATTAGTCAGTCATGTGGTCCAAACCTAACTGCAAGGTGGGTATTGAATGTAGAAGGTGACATGGATATTTGATGAGCACTAACTCATCATCCTATGTGATCCTTGGGGCATCACTGAGGCTCCCAGAATTTAAATAATGTGTCCAAATCGTACATTAATAAACGATTTTATGCCTAGTTATTTTATTATGTTCTGCACTTGTTTATATCTCATATTTTCTTTGACTGCAGATTACATTCTTTCTGTCTCAGTAATCTCCACCCTTAAAAAACCAAAAGGTTGGTCAACTCCACAGGTAACGTCATTCTGATCCAAGTCACACATGCAGTTGTTAGAAGCCATTCTAATGAGTGCAAAGCCAGTCATATTATGGTCTAAATATGGTACCATTCATTTGTGGATAGTAAAGAATATTCATAGCTGAACACCCCAGTTACTGTGAGAAATAAAGATATCCAAGGTTTAAAAGGGAAGGAAACATTTTTTTCATGAAAAAAATTTAAAACATTTTCCTGGACCATCAATCTCCTTGACACAGGCTTTAATTATTCAAAAAGAAATTTTATTTCCGGAATCAAAGATTTGGATATTTCTTCACAAGGTAAAAGTTTTGAGACATCCACTTCGTTGAGTGCTCTGTAAGATTTTCTCTGACCTTATTAGAATTTAACACTTCCCTGGGACGCACTGGTGCCCATGCCTCAGGATAGGAAGACTCTGGCAATCTATTTTCCAGTGCAACCATCCTAAACCACAAATTCAGTCATGTCACTCCTGTGTTCAAAAAATCTGCCTTGGCTTCCTTGGTAGACACTTTTGGTTGATGACTCAACCATCATTTTTCCCCTTCTTCCTGGCTAACCAAACCCTGATTCTCTTCAAGAATTGGAAAGATTTAATGTGTTCAGGAAAAGTATTGTGGAACCTAAAGCAATTCCATCTTCAATGCCAAACCACCATGTTGACTTCTTCTTAACACCAGTACCAGGAATGCCTCTAAAATTTCCAGTTTATCTGTTGTTCCTTGTGTAAGAGAACATACTTGCCATAAATTCTGCCCTTAATCAAATTCTCCTACACATTCCCTCTGAAGTGGAAAAAAACCCTTTTCCTGTGGTTAATAAGTCCTGGGTCTTGGGGTAGCAGCACAGAAAATCTACCTGTCTCAGACAGCCATCCAAGATCACACTGCTGTCCATAAGTTCTCCCATAAAATCTTCATACCAACAAACCGGATTTGTCTTTGGTTTCTTGACTTCTTTGGTGTTTGGGGGACACTTTGCATATAATACAGCCCTTTCACAAAACAAGTAAATTCCTCCCAAACTCCAAAATATTATTCAAGATGCTGTATGTCAGTCATTCCCATTCAGATGCTTACTGTTCCAGCCTCACTGTATCTGGCTGAGGGTGAGTATGTGACATAGTTTTGATTAGGAACGTGTAAGGAGAAGTCTTCTAGAAAATTTCCCCCAAAAATTCATACAAACTCAAGAGGAAAGCTTTCTGGCTCTCCCTGTTCCCCTTTCCTCCTCCCTGGAAAACAATTTTGTAGGAGGTGATGTTTAAAGCTTCATTATCCATATTGTAACCTATGGTAGAGACTGCTTGCTTATCAGTCAACTTACTTTCTCTTCTTCCAATGTGCGTTGATACTCATTATTTTCCATTTCCCCTTGCAGTTAAGTATAACTGAATTCTAGTCAATGGAATATGGAGTAGAGTACTGTACAACACTCCCAGGGCTAACATGGAAAAAGCTCTCATGCATGGTCCTTATATTATTTCCCCTCCCAGCTTGAACAGTGTCTTGGAAATTTTGGAAGATATATTGAAGCTGGTAAATAAGAAGATGAAAACTACTTGAAGAAAAGCCAAAAGAAACTGCCATCAGAGTGAACAGGCAATCTACAACATGGGAGAAAATTTTTGCAATCTACTCGTCTGACAAAGGGCTAATATCCAGAATTTACAAAGAACTCAAACAAATTTACAAGAAAAAAACAAACAACCCCATCAAAAAGTGGGCAAAAGATATGAACAGACACTTCTTAAAAGAAGACATTTATGCAGCCAATAGACACATGAAAAAATGCTCATCATCACTGGCCAGAGAAATACAAATCAAAACCACAATGAGATACCATCTCACACCAGTTAGAATGGCGATCATTAAAAAGTCAGGAAACAACAGGTGCTGGAGAGGTTGTGGAGAAATAGGAACACTTTTACACTGTTGGTGGGACTGTAAACTAGTTCAACCATTGTGGAAGACAGTGTGGCGATTCCTCAAGGATCTAGAACCAGAAATACCATTTGACCCAGCCATCCCATTATGGGTATACACCCAAAGGACTATAAATCATGCTGCTATAAAGACACATGCACACGTATTTTTATTGCGGCACTATTCACAATAGCAAAGACTTGGAACCAACCCAAATGTCCAACAATGATAGACTGGATTAAGAAAATGTGGCACATATACACCATGGAATACTATGCAGCCATAAAAAATGATGAGTTCATGTCCTCTGTAGGGACATGGATGAAGCTGGAAACCATCATTCTCAGCAAACTATCGCAAGGACAAAAAACCAAACACTGCATGTTCTCACTCATAGGTGGGAATTGAACAATGAGAACACATGGACACAGGAAGGGGAACATCACACACTGGGGCCTGTTGTGGGGTAGGGGGAGTGGGGAGGGATAACATTAGGAGATATACCTAACGTAAATGATGAGTTAATGGGTGCAGCACACCAACATGGCACATGTATACCTATGTAACAAACCTGCATACTGTGCGCATGTACCCTAGAACTTAAAGTATAATGATAAAAAAATAAAATAGAAAAAAGAAAAACCATCTACTTATCAGGAAACCAATTACAAATTTTATAGAAGAGAGATATAAACTTTTGTTGTATTAAGACACTTAGAATTGAGGGAGTTATCCAGTACATCAGCTAACATTACATTAACTATACATGACCATGAAGCAAAAAAACTAAAAATGAACGTCAGCATGATGAAGATTCAAGAGAAAAAAAATAGGAAGCTCTTGAGTCTGAAGACATTGTTAAGATGCTGCACCAAACTAGAATGAACTATCTCTAGACTTCTTGCTCTAGGAGAAAATATAATGTCTTTATTGTTTAAGTAGGCTGTTACTTGCAGCCTAAAACATTCCTAATTGATAAACTACAAGCGACTAAAGAAAAAAATATTGGCCTTCCATTCTTTGTCAATCTGACCTTCACAAACTTTTATTCCACACTGAACTGAAATATGTTCCCTGATTTACCATGGCCATTATGCTTCTCTGATGCTGCCTATGTTCATTACTCTCCCAGAATTGTTCTTCCTGCCCTCTCCATCAAATTATTCCTTAATATTTTCAACTTAAACAGCACCTCTTCCTGTATTTTCCCCTGACTGCAATAGGCAGAATTAACTTGCTCCTTCAACTATGTTCCATAAAGCTGGGTAAGAAACTCTGGCACGGTGCCTAGGTGCTCATTTACCTGCAAGTTCACTTAGACTACAATTTATTTACTTCTACTTATCCAGAACCTAGTACAGTCCCCAGCACATACAGGATTCTTGATAAATGCTTACTGATTTGAAAATAATCAGTTGTTGATTTTTGCTCAGAATTGAAAGGATCCTTTAAGATTAACGTGCCCATCCTGCTCATTCCTAGATGAAAAAATAAAATGGTACCCTGAAATGACCAATAGTTTAGTATCAGAACTGGTATAGAACATAAAGCTTCTGATTTTCAAGTCACTAAGAATTTTTTCCATTTTCCAGTTTCTAGGCTAAAGCTATTTTTTAGTTTCACCACTTTATTCAACTCTGGTGACATGACCTTCCCCCAGCTCTAGCTTTACGAGTCATAGAAATAATTTTCCATAAATCCTACTATGAGCACCAAGAAGAAAGAAATGTCAGAAAGTCAAAAGAATATATCCTAGCTTGGAAATCAATCATCCTCAGGATCACACTAACCTAACAAACCCTGCCTCACCAGACATCCTGACTTTACAATCCAGGTCCCCTGACACTGAGCCTGGAAGCCATCCCTGAACCCCAGCAGAATGGCTGAGGCATGGTACCCTGCGTCACCCTGATCAGTCAAATTCCTCTCCTGGAGGCAGCTAAACTTTGCTCTCTGGCCATCAACCACTGCCTGGTTTTCTATTCCAAACTGAAAAGAACACACATGAACACAACACAATATTGACACATAATCTGACCATATTATGCCTGAATGTTCCTGCTTCCCCACCCATCTCAGATAGGGGCCTTGAATCCTGAGCTCAGCCTGGATGCTCTCTTGATTCTCTGACTGGCTGGACACTGAGTCCCAACATGCTGAGTTCACCCAGGATGAGGCAGGAAGGGATCAAGGCAATGGCCTTCAGCAAGGGCTTTGACCAGGATCAATACTCACTCATGCATTCAGCAAAAATTTATTGAGCATCTACTATGTGCTCTTGACAGCAAAGTTACAGTGGTGAGCAAACAGACAAGGCCCTTCCCCATTAGACCTACATTTTGGGAAAGAGGCAGACATTAACTAAGTAAACAAGAGCTCACATAAAGTGTCACATAATTCAAGAAATATCAGATGCTATGAAGAAAAATAAAGGAAAGTCAGGGAAATCTAGAGATACAGATGGAAGCAAGTGTTTATTTTAAATAGAGTGGCAAACGAAGACCTTTCTAAGAGGATAATGCTTGACAAAAGACCTAAAAGAAGTAAGGGATCAGGCCATGAGAATATCTTAGGATGACCATTTATGCCTGGAATAGTTACAGTTTACTATCATTTCCTGACACAATCGTTAATAACAACTCATTATACACCCAAAATTATCCCAGTTGGGAAAATAAATTACATGAGTTTGGTAGTAAATTATACCCAGATTGCACTAACACTCTGGTGGACTTGAGTTAAAGGCAAAGGAAATAGTGAGTGCAATGGCCCTGAAGTGGGAATACACTGGAGTGATTAGAAACAAAAAAGTTGATGTGGGTGGAGTAAAGTGGTGGAAAACAGGGAGCTAGAGATAACTGAAGAAGGGGCAACCAGAGCCTGCAAGGTTTTTCAGGTCATAGTAAGGAATTTGGATTTTTAATATAATGGGAAATCACAAGAAGGTTTGGGAACAGGGAGTGACAAAAACTAATTGAGTTATTTTAAAGGTCCATCTGGATTTTGTGTAAAGAACACACTATGTGGGAACAAAAGGAACAGAGATCCCAGACTGGAAGTCTAAGGAAAACAAACCACTTTTCCTCTCTATTCTCACACAGTCACTCAACACAGCACTTCTGACACCAGACATGTGGAGATTCCTCCTCACACACCAAGCAATCAGTTCTCCGGTGGGCACCATATGGGTATCCGACAATTTAGTTCAATTCTGTCACATTCTACCAAGAGATACTTCTCCAGCAACCTCTGCTTCTGACCAACCAGCTATACATTTGGGTTCTTATTAATTGAATGACTGGTCTATTCCAGACTAAAAAGAACACAATAAGGATGCACAATCTGGCCATGTTGTGACTGAAGACTCCTGCTGCCCCATCCTTCTCAGATGGGAGCCCTTGGATCCTGAGCTCAGCGTGGATGCTCCTTTACCTCTCTGATTGGCCTAATACCAAATCCCAGCAGGCTAAGTTCTCTCTTCTTCGGTTCAATTAATTTGCTAAAGCAGCTCACAGAACTCAGGGAAACGTTTTACTTTTGTTCACCCATTATCACAAAGACTATTATGAAGAAACACATAGAGCAAGCATGTGGGAAGGGGCACAGGGCTTCCATGCCCTCTCCAGGCTCACCAACCTCCAGGAACCTCAACACGTTCAGCTATCTGGAAGCTCCTCCAAACCCCCATCCTTTTGGGTTTTTTATAGAGGTTTCATTACATAGGCCATTGGTGATCAACTCCTCTTCAACCTCCTCTTTGCTTCTTGAAGGTCAGAAGTGGGGCTGAAACTTTCAACCCTCTAATAACTTGGTTGGTTCGCCTGAAAACCAGACCCCATTCTGAGGCTATCCAGAAGCCCACCAAGTCACATCAAAACAAAAGATGCTCCCATTGCCCAGGGAATTCCGAGATTTCAGAGCTCTGTCAGACACTCTTAACACGTAGGAAATTACAAAGATCTTAGGAGCTCTGTGTCAGGAACCAAGGTCGAAGATGAAATACTAGAACTGAGGGAAGAGATCAAATACATGTTTCTTGCCTGGCACAGTGGCTCATGCCTGTAATCCCAGCACTTTGAGAGCCCACAGCAGAAGATCACTTAAGCCCAGGAGTTTGAGACTAGCTGGGCCACATGGCAAAACCTCATCTCTACAAAAAAAAAAAAAAAAAGTTTGCCAGGTATGGTGATATGTGCCTGTAGTCACAGCCATCCAGGATGCTAAAGTGGGAGGATCACCTGAGTCCGGGAGGTCAAGGCTGCAGTGAGCCATGATCACACTACTACACTAGATATTCTTGTATTTACAAGACATTAGATTAGATATTCTTGTACTTACTTCTTCATATCACAAATTTGGACCTCAAATTGATCATTCTCAAATAGCAAAGATTTTAGCTCAAAAATCAAGTAGTTATCAAGTTCCAATAGGGCTATATTGTATTTTGTTTCTTCCCTCATCCTTTCTCCACTCAGATAGTCAGACATCTCCCCCAGTAGCTCTATTTCACCAAGTTTGTGCCCTAATTGCTCAATGTGATTCTCTTCTCCTCTTTTCCTCTTCTCCGACTGTTGGGGCCTATCAAGTCTAAATGCTAAGATATTCTTAATGATGGGACTCTGAGAGAAATAAAAGGTTGAGGTATCTTTTATCCTGTAGGCCGGTGGTTTAAGGGCAGGGTATCAGCCACCACCCTAAGGCTGCTAGGGTAGCCTCTTCAGTATCAGTTCTACCAGAACTCTTCCAGCCTGGAAAGAGGGAAAAATTTAGTTCTACCAGAACTCTTCCAACCTGGAAAGAGGGAAAAATTTTACCAGCTCTTTCAATTCCTTTTTGGTCTTTTGTAGGTTAAGGAAATTAGCACACCCTCATGGATTAGCATTAGATTTCCTTTAGGGTCCAAAGGCTCCTCCTGACCCAGCACTCTCCTATCGTCATCCTTAATCTCTGATGCTACTTAATCTCTGATGCTGCTCCCTGGGTGAGTGCCCAGCACTTAGAAGAAGTCCCATTCATTTCCCTTTCAGGGAAGTTAAAAGAGCCTGCAACCCTAGCTATACCAGTTACTGAAAGATCTTGGTTCATACTTGGCTCAGAAAAAGCAAATTTTCTTGGAATCAGAAGGGAGGGAAAGTGAGTTATGTTTACATCACCATATTCCCCGAATCCCCTTACCTCAATTATGGAGGATTTGGACTGAAGAAATAATGCAGCAAGTAAATACACATTAAAAAAGGGCTGAAGACAGGGTGCTGGGACATGCAAGCATTTAGAGGACAGGAAGAGGAGAAGAACTTATTAATGATATCATTGAAACCAATTTTTAGAGAAAATATTTCTAACAAAACTATATTTTATTGATAAACAGAGGTCAATATTGAGGATTTGCGGACAGAGAGGTCCTGGTAAGACCTAGTTGATACAGAAAGTGACTCCTCAACCTTAGTTAGTACAAGAAAGGAAAGAGGAGAAACAAAATTGCAGCAACTTTCCCTTGGCAGAAAGAGCAGCCTACAAAGGAAACAGGTCAGTACCCAAGAAGTGAAGAGCACACTGGCCAAGCAACTGGGGAGCTACAGCCTGTGTCCAGGAAAAAAACATGAGACAGATTCCAGAGAGGGAACCCAGCCATTTGCAAGATTCTATGAACACAGGAAAATTCCAGAAAAGATGGGAGACTGACTAAAGATGGGAATAAAGGTGTTTCCAAGGCTCTCATGATTATCAGGAAAATGCACCATGTCTCTGGTTGCAGGGCAGAGAAATAGCAAGTTTGTATGGAATTCTAACTTCTATAAGAATCTACTTTTCAGACTTAGCACTCTACATATGGAATATATAGTATTTTAACTTTATTAAACTTCTTAAGAGTCTTGTAAAAGTGCTTATTCTATATCTCAGATAATCACAGGAGAGCTAGAAAAGGCAAATACGCTATCCAAAAATATTCCTTGAAAATACTGACTTGAAAGAGTTCTTTTAAAATATGAACACCCAGGCATGTTATTTAATTAAAAAATCATAATACAGAATTGCCAGTCTGAAATCACCTGATTTAATGCAGCCCCTAAAACAGTCCTGTGTGAAAAGCAAAACAGATATCATTAATATCCCCATTTTATAAGTAAGGAAATTAAGGCTTAGAGAAATTAAATGACTCGTTCAAGGTTGTTTGCTAAGTGGAAGAGCTGGGACTAAAACCCAGGGCTGGCGGCAGCCTCTGCCGAGGCAGGCATGGAAGGAAGGGTAATGACTTTTAATTGAAATGTCTACCAGGAGTGCGATGCGCTAGTATGGGTAACGGCTGCCCCGACTCGAGCTGGGCCGGCATCAGGCCAAGAGCAGCCTGTTTCCCAAGCATTCCTTCACTTGTTCAAGAGATCATGAAAATTAAATTGGGCTATAACCAGGCCTTAATTCCCCACCCTTGATGTGAGGAGCCATATTTGTCTCATTAGCCTAGGTCATAAACTCCAGCAGGAGGGAGCAAAGGAGGCGGAGGATAAAAGTGAGGAAAGGAAAGGGAGAAAATGCTATGAAGAAGCAGGAAGCAAGGGGGAGGAAGGTGAGAGGGTACGTGAAGGACAAGCACACCTCGTTAGATTAGGAGACTCCCCTCCCAGCAGCATCATCATTACATTTTAAGCTTGTGCAGCCCTTCATGTGCACACTCTCATTCGATCCTCATTACCTCCCTGGGAGGCAGGCAGGGCAGAAAGGATCAACCACATTTTACCAGCAAAGGAATGGGGCTCTGAGAAATTGAGAGACTTGCCCAATTGGCAAATCCAGGGCCAATAAAACCTGTGTTTTTTGACTCCTACTCCATAAACAGCAGGCCATTTTCAAAATCCCCTTGAGCCAGGCAGGAGCAGAAGGCAGACCTCCAGTATTCTTTTGAAGATAACATGCTGCCTCTCTTGTACCTTTCGACACACAGATATATCAAATGAGGATTTTTATTTCTACATAGCAGCAGGGGTGTGAGTATGGAAGTTCTATTATTAAATGTTTAAAAATCCAATGGACTGTCCCTCTTGTTTAGCTGTATTAGAATATGGATGAATCACCTATTGAGTAAGCCAGTAGGTCCGGAGTAGGAACTTAGAATTATTTTTATTTAGTTTGCAGAGATCTGTACCATAATGGTATGTATTAGAGAAACGATCTAAATTGAGCATGAAAGTCTTGGCTTCAAATTACATCTCTTGGATGCCTGCCTTCCATATAAAGGAAATGTAGCAATTGACTATCTCCAAAGAATAAAGCTCAGAGAGTCAAAATAGATAAACTTATGGAAAAGCAATGAACTGCTGTACAATCATATAGGCTGTCAAATAAGGGGACATGGGTTCAAACATGGTCTGTACTGCTTAGTACGCAATATAACAGATAGCACAGTAAGTGTAGATTTGCAAATCAACTCAAGTTCAAATCCTGGTCTTACCATCTTAGAAAAGTAATATCGAATCTCACAATTTTAAATCCCACCATCTATTAGAAATAATCATGCCCATCTTACTGAACTATGCTCAACAATTATTAATATCCATTCTTTAATGGAAATACATTTATGATAACCTTTGCCTAAGTGACAAACCTTAGGACTTAAATAGCCTAGCTATACCATATAAGGCTTTTCTGCAATACAAATATCAATTGTACTTCCCTTATTTTTACTCTTTATCTTATTGCATTGTTACTAGTTTGACAAGTGCTTCTAAATTTGCCTACCCTAAATAATAAGTTTAGGTTATAATTTTGCTTCAATACACACGATACAAGTAAACTTCTGTTTAATTGTGTTAGAAAACAATAGGACTTTGTCTATTGAAACAGGTTTCAAGGATTCCTGCCAACAAAATATTTGACAAATGTATTTTTAAAGGAATACTTTTTGAAATTTGATTTTAAGATTCAGGGGTAACTTGTGCAGTTTTATTAAACGGATATGTTGTATAATTGCGTGGTTTGGGCTTCTAGTGTACTTAGCACTAAAATAGTGACTATTGTACTCAAGGTAATTTTTCAATCCTCACCCCCTTCCCAATCTCCCTCCTTTTGGAGTCCCCAATGTCCATTGTTTCTATTTATGTCCATGTGTACCCATTGTTTAGCTCCCACTTATATGTGAGAACATGTGGTATTTGATATTTCTGTTTGAGTTATTTCACTTAGATAATGGCATTCAGCTCCATTCTTGTTACTACAAAGTATGTTATTTTATTCTGTTTTTATGGCTGCATAGTATCCCATGGCATACCACATTTTCTTTATCCAGTCAACCATTGATGGGCACTTAGGTTGATTCCATGACTTTGCTATTGTGAACAGTGCAGGCGTCTTTCTCATATAATGATTTCTTTTCCTTTGGGTAGATGGCCAACAGTGGGATTGCTGGGTCAAACAGTAGTTCTATTTTTAGTTCTTTTTTAAGGAATATTTAAAAATTTAGTTGAAAATTTTAGTTGAAGGCAAAGCTTAGGCTTTCCATACGTAGTAGTTCCACTACATTCCTTGAAGGTATGCAGCATTTCCTGGGATGTGTGTGTGTGTGTGTGTGTGTGTGTGTATGTATGTGTGTGTCTTAAAAGTGGAGAGATTGGTCTATGTTCATATTGCTGAATCTTAAAAGAAAAATCAATTTGTCAACACACAGTCAAGTACAATTTTGCCATTTCCTCAAAAAAGAAAAATCTTTCAATAAATAAGGCGTAGATAACTACTTTCATGGCTGGCAGAATGTCCCTGTATCTTATAAGGAAATACATTAAATGTCTTCTGGATGGAAGAAATCCAGAGATGCTAAGGACCCAAAGTCCCAGTACTTGAGACGATTATGAAGAGATGAAAAAGGTGACTCTACCTCTTTACAACTGAATTATTAAATGTGGCTCTCCTGACTGAGCTAGAACTAGACTGCTAGAACCAAGCCACTGACTGTCCTTTGAAGACTCAGTTCAAATGTTATTGTTTCTGCACCTGGGAGAATTATTTTTGCAGCAGAACATAATGGTTCTAGAGTCCAAGTGCCTGGATTAAAATCCCAGACACTGGCAGCCAACATATGCAAGGCACAGTCCTAAGCGCTTTGCATAAATCATTGCATTTGATCATCACAACAATCCTATGAAGCAGATGCTTCTATTATTCCCATTCACAAGTGTATTAGTCTGTCCTCATGCTGCTAATAAATATAGCTGAGACTGGGTAATTTATAAGGGAAAGAGGTTTAATTGACTCACAGTTCCACATGGCTGGGGAGGACTCACAATCATGGCGAAAGGCAAATGAGGAGCAAAATCACATCTTACATGGTGGCAGGCAAGAGAGCTTGTGCAGGGGAACACCCATTGATAAAACCAACAGATCTTGTGAGACTTATGCACTACCATGAGAACAATATGGAGGAAACTGCCCCTATGATTCAATTATCTCCACCTGGCACCAACGTTGACATGTGGGGATTATCACAATTCAAGGTGAGATTTGGGTGAGGACACAGCCAAACCACATCAACAAGTTAGGAAACAGGAATAGAAAAGTTAAGCAGCTGGCTCAGGGTAACATAAAATTTGCTGGAGCCGGAATCCAACTTGAACTATCTGGCTCCTTTCTGCTTTTTGTCTCTCAAGGTCAGCTACTTAACAGCTATGTAGCTTAGTGTAAGTTACTCAATCTCTCTATGCCTCATCTGCAATATGGAGATAATTATAGTTTGTTATAGTACAACAAACTTGCAGAGTTCTTAAAATAATTACCAAAGATAACTCCTGTATTTTTTAGCACAGTGCCTAGCACATAAATGCTCAATAAAAGCTACTTATTATATTGTCTTCTTGGTGATAGCAGAAACCATATTTTACTCACTTATCTGCTAAGCAAGTCACTTAACTTCTCTGAGACTTCCATCCTTCATCTGTGCAATGGGATAATAATACCAAAGTTATTTGGGCACATAAAAGACCCTCAATAAACACCTGATGCATTTGTGGGCTCTCTTTATGTAGTTCCTAACACAGTTCCACATGGAAATAGGTATAGCAATAAAAGCTTCTAGATCATGGCAATCCATAATGTAAAAATGGTAATATTTCCTTCTCCCCATCCCTCAGGTTCTGTGAGGATAAATGAGAAAACCTCTACAAGAGAGACTGTTAGGAGAAAGGTGCTTTATAAATCTAGGGGGTTGCTATTAATGATCATCTTTATAATAAATTTGGTATTGGAGAAATCATAGCTCATCATGCATTTCTCCTTAAGGGAAGCCTATCAAGGCCTCCTTCAATGACATGGCAGCAGCTGGTGCCCGAGGATTTGAATCTATGGAAACATGAGACGAAAGATAGTGTAGTTACAGAAAGAAGTCAAAAAGGAATGTGAGCTGACCATTTAAACAGAATCTTCTCTCCTATGTCCTCTGGCCTCCCCACACTCTATACGGACACCAGGTCCCCATGGGTGTCAACACCGGAGCCTGAGGTCTGATCCTCAATTTTACAGGTTCAGGAATTCAAACATGTCCACATACACAGAGCTCACCAGGCTCTTGGAGGTACTTCCCCATAGGAGAGTCTCAGAGAACCAGGCAAGCTGGGAGGCTGTTCCCTTCTGGCAGTCTGATACAAAGGTTTCTATTCAGGGAGCCACAGTTTTAGTTCCAAAGGCAAAAGACTGGCCCAGATTGACAAGGTGTAATTAAGTCAAAACTGGCATCCCATCATAGTGGCCAAGAGCATATAGATCTGGACAGGAATCCCAGCTTCCCAGCTTAGATTCAGTGTGACAACCTCTCCAAGCCTCTACTTCCAGTAAAACAAAAGTATCTGAGAGGGGACTTGTGCGATTTCAATGAGATATAGAGTTCATGATGTGCCTAGCACGGCAACTGGCACATATGAAGCCTTCAGGTAATGATAGTAATCATCATTGTGGTTAATGTGTAGCTAACTGGATTTTGATGATTTGAACAAAGAATGTATAGCAAAGCCAGACTAGCGTGAAGGGAAAGGAGCAGGTGGGTCCACTGTTCAGATACAGGGCCTTCCCCACCTATGCCATAATTTGGTCTTGAATGTGCTGACAGTGGATCAACAGTGTCCTTAAAGGAATTGCATTGGTGGGTTGGACAGACTTCCTCAACTCTGGAGACAATGATACGGAAACAAGACATAAACATATTTATTTAAAGATTCAGATATCCATGTCCAGTAACTGGGGTCTATCAATTACATAGGAAGCTAACTTAGCTGTTGGAAGATGACTTGGTAAGCATGAGTTCATAGGGAACTGGAAGATCCAGTGGGGTATTTCTCCAGGTGTGTCAAAGCCAGATAGACCCTCTCTCTTCCCACAATAGACTCCACCTCCTAGGTGATCTGATTACTTGACATTCATGTCTAGCAAAATAATATCTCCTTTCATTGCACAGAACTTAAGTTTTGCTCCCCTTCCTTTTTCCAAAATACATATAGAATGTTTCCCTCCATACAGTAAGTTTTGAAAACCAGCAATCAACATGGATTTGATTTCCTGCTCTACCACTGACAAGCTGTGTGACTTTGGAAATGTCACTCATCTTCTCTGAAACAGTTTGCTGATCTATAAAATAGTGATAAGAATCTCTAGACTGTTGTGAGGCCTAGTAAAAAGTGTTTATAACTACTTAGCACAGTATTTGTGCTAATGTGTGATTATTGTTATAGTAGCTACTATTTTAATTCTATTAAACACACTCTTTCTTCAATTTCTGTGATTCTGGTCCTAAAGACAAATCCTAAACACACTGTTTGAATCTATAACTATTCTATATCCACTCTTAATGTTCATTCAGTCACACAAGTACAGAACATCTTGGAGGCCTGGCCACGTCTGAAGATGGCTCAATTCCTTTATTCTTTTCTGACTTTTGGATACTTGACCTTCAAAGGGTGACCTCGTTGCCTAGTTCTGGGGACATCTCACTATAGCTAATTTGTGCAAGAAAAGGAAGAATTCTGAAGGCCCATAGGGATGCAAAAGCCTGAATGTTCTGCAAATACCAAGTAGTTCTGGGCCCCGTAAAGTATAGACATTTCTATTTCTCTACAGAGCATTTTCTTCTTCCCTGAGCCAACCCCACTTTCAAAAGGCATTTTTTTCCCCTTGCTACTCTTAGCCAAGCATCCAGCATTATAAGAATATTACTGTGATGCCACATTTTACTTTGGGCCATTCTTCATTTTCTATAAAATCTTCAGATAAAATGTCCCAGATAGCACTTTTCTCAGTGGCTTTCAACAGTCACTTTCTCTTTATTTCCAAATGCACAGATGAGCTCTGTTCAATGAAGAAACACATTAATAGCAACCTCTCTATTCCCTCTAGGCTACTTGCAAGTCTTTCTGTGTTTTTAGTCTTCACCAAGCTCCAAAACCAACCACATTGAGTGATGTGAATACCAGGTTTCTCATTTTGGTAACGAGGTGACTGGATTGGAGTCTGCAGATTAATAAATAGAAAAAAAATTGACACAAAAATCACGGGTTTAAAACAAAAAAACGAAGAGATTATGATAAAGATTAAGAAGGTGATTCAAAAAAAAAGAAGACACAAAATATTCCCATTTTATCTAGAGTGGCAAAAAACTCCAGTATAAACCGGGCAATGCTGAGCTGCTCTTTAATAACACTGGAGATAAGGAACACAAACTCAGAATGGGAAGCATATGTGTAGCAAAATACAAGGCTGGGGGCTTGGGATTCAGATCAGACAGAGAAAGGGGTTGTTGATTTAAGTGGTGTGGGAAAATGGGGAAGGTATTGCTTAAAGCAGAAACCAATGTTGTTTATTTGGGAGACAAGCTCAAGAATATTATTATGGCAGAGTCAAGAAGTTATCTCCTGTGAATTGTCTTGAATAATGGGGGGAGTGAGAGAAGCTCACGGCGTATGACATTTAGAATTGCAATTTCTAAGCAGAGCACCATGTCTGATATATCATTTATTGTCTCTGTCTCCATCCTTCCAGAGCCACATTAAGGACAGATGTGAACCTCACTTCCCTAGGTCTCCATTTTCACATTGATTTGGAGGACATTTATTTCCCCCTTCACAACAGAATCATATTTTTTCCCCTCTCGGAAGGTTTAGCTCATCACTAAATATTCAAGTCTAGGAAGCAATTTTTTTCTCTGTGCATGATTTGTCTCTCTGGAACTGAACCCCTTTGGTTGAAAGCAAGAATCTATACAAATAAATGGCACACATGAAGAGAGAGTGGGGGTGGATGAGTGCAGAAGATTTCTCAAGTTGTGATGGAAATTTGCACTTCAGTCTTCCCATTTTAGCTGATTTTACAGGAAGGAAGAAACAATACTCATCTGATCAGGTATCAGATCCTGCTGGCTTAGAAGATTCAAAAGGCAGATTCAATTACTATGCCGTATACTCCTACTTCCTGCTGAAAAACATTATGCATATGTGCACATTCTCGTGGTCGCTCTTTTGAAATGGGGTTTCCACACAATCCTCACCGCATTTCAGGCGGAAATGAAGTGATGCCATGTACAGACATTCTAATTTGGTAGATTTGATGAATTTTAGAGCTGGAAGGGATCAATATACCCATTTATTTGGTAGCTGGAGAAACTAAGGTGTCAGAACTTATCTGACTTGGTCAAAGCAATGTATCCTCACAAGCATCTGCATATTCATATGTTTTCTTTAGCACTATGGAATTGTTCTGTTTTCTACATGTATGTAGGAATCTTCCAATTCGCATTGGGTCTTTGCCAAAGCTGGGCACTGGAGCCCAGGGTGCAGCTTAACATAATAAGAATGCCATGCTTCCTTACCAAGGTCTTGCAAGCTCTCTGAGACACTGCAAGGGTGCAGGGGACAGGTGCAGCCACTCTTACAAACCTAAACTGCAGCCCACTTGTGGTCTTGGGGAAAATGGCTTTCCCCTATTCCAACTGTCCTGCGTCCCATGCGAAGGCACTAGCCACTTCCCTCTCCCCTATGATCCCCTCAATAAACTGAGGCTTTTAAAAACAAAGGCCAGCAATGTCTGTTGTCTTCAAATAACTTCTGTTTTCAGCTCTGCAACTAAACCTCTGGAGAAAAGAGATCACAAAACACAAATTAATATTAACAAATTATTCTGCCACACTTGCCTTATATATTTCTACCCCTGGAGCCTTATGGATGCTGTGCCTTCTACCAGGGATGTTATTCCCCTTCTCTGAGCTATCTGAGTTTTGTCATCTTCAAGTTCCCCTGTCATCCAGGAAGGACTTCCTGACCTCTTCACAGAACTCCTAAGCCAGTCCCTGTTTTTGCCCCTGGCTTTGTCTTTCATGTCTCTGGCTTATATGACTTTTTTCTCCAGCTTATTAGTTCCCCAGGGGAAGGCACTGTGTCATTGGCTTCTTTGTACCCTTCAAATTACCTAAGAAAGTGCAAGTCACGTGGCTTGGAGTGAGTTTTGGGTTTGAATCCTGAGTAAAGTCTTATTTTGCCTCTTTGACGTATCACAATAATCTCAAAATGTGGCTGGTAGTATTTTTTCTCAATAGCTTTATTGTTTTCTTTCTGATTATATAGATGGCGCATTCTCATTGTAGAAAATTCAAAAACCACATGGTACTATAAAAAAGAAAGTAAAGGTCACATGAAATTCTACCTTCCTTATGTAAGCACCATTAACATTTTCTTGGCCATCTTTTACATCTCTCTTTATGACTATATAGTATATCTATTTTGTACACACACAAATATATTTGTATTGTATATAAAGAGGATTATTTTATACATACCTTTTAAAAATGAAGAATATTAAAGATCATATACAAAAATGTCAAGCAACACTAGTTGAATAAAAAATAATTTAATCTGGCCTTCAATCAGCAATCTTAAATGAATAAACAGTATTTCCCACAGTACGTTGAGAATAAAAGAAAGCAGGAGATGGCCCCTAAGCCACCTTCCTGTCTC
Source organism: Homo sapiens (assembly GCF_000001405.40). NCBI lineage: Eukaryota > Metazoa > Chordata > Mammalia > Primates > Hominidae > Homo > Homo sapiens. Next base: position 106,111,617 of record NC_000009.12, on the reverse strand, counting down.
TAGGCAGGATCCACTGAAAATACTCCATTTAAATTAGCCCAAGGCCCAGAGTGTGCAGCACAGAGGGCAAATGAGCATTCTAATTGGAAATTCAATACCCGACACTAAGATCAGATTTCTTCAGCCTAACGCGGCTTTCAGACATCATATGTATTCTCAGTTTACCAGCTGGAAGCATTGAAAGAGATGGACAAAGCTACACACCTTGGGTAAAATGTTTACTAAAGCTAAAATAAACTACACCAGACTGATGTGTATCTTCCCTGGAGATCTTACAGAAGAGACGTCAGCCTCCAGAACCCAGGGAAAAAACTCAGCTTTCTTATCTTAAATTATCCTGTTTTCATTTAAGCCTGTTTCCTCTCGTTCTACCCCTAGTGGCAAGAGAACAATTATTAAGTCAGTTCCCTTTTCTTCCCTTCTCTTCTCACCCTGGCCACACACATGCCCTTCTGCAGGCCTAATAATTTTAATTTCCCTTCCTCCCCAGGTCCTTTAATCACCTTTTGTGGCTGTGCTCTGAATATTCCCCACTCTCTACAGCCCTTTTAAGGGTATGTAAACTCTGAGTTCCTACTACTTTCAACCAAACTGAAAGAGAAACATTTCACAACCCCATCATTCCTTCTTAAACCTGAGACATAGCCACATCTCATCTATCAGGAATAAAATTAAAATTTATGTTAGAAAACTGAAAGAGCCATCTCCCTTTAATAGTCCTCATTTAAAGATCAAATTCAAACCTATGAGAAATTCTGTTCTCATAATAAGCAAATCTTTCCCACTGTAGGACAACATCCTATACTGTCTATACAGTGGCAAACTTCACACAGTTTCTCCTCCAGTCCTGTGCAGAGAGGCTAGAGTCTACCTTTTAGTTAGAGTGATCCATCATCACCCATTTACACCACCAGAAATATGACTAACAGATTACGAATGTCTCTTCTTTTGTCGACCAATTTGTTGGAATACAATACCTGCTACAACACATAATAGTTCTGCTGTCCTATTCACAGACACACAGGAGGTGGTCATAACATAGGTGTGTGCTTCAATAGAGACTCTTTTCAGCCAGATGGGCAGGACTGGTAGTGGCCTGGGCTTCCCACCTGGAAGGGCACAGATATCCAGAGCTAGGACCTTGATTTTCTCACATTATCCTATTTTTTAATGATATTTATCATTACTTTTTTTCATTTTTATAATTTTTTGTAGAGGCAGAGTCTTGCTATATTGCCCAGGCTGGTCTTAAACTCCTGGTCTCAAATGATCCACACCTGCCTTGGCCTCCCAGAGTGCTGGGATACAGGTGTGAGCCACCATGCCCAGCCACTAATGATTTATTTTCTTTCTTCTTGTCTGTCTCTTTCACTAGATGGTAGAAGAGGACCTTAGTTTTGCTCATCAATATCTCACTTTCTCAGTGAGAAATATACCAAACTGCAAAGTCCCCTGCATACACTAACCCTGGCATATCTGATCCTTGTTATCTTGCTGTACTTTTTCTTTTCCTTTTTCTCATAGCTTCTATTATCTTCTAACAAATTATATCATTAACTAGGTAGGATGATGTATTAGTCAGGGTTCTCTAGAGGGGCAGAACTAACAGGATAGATGTATAGATGAAGAGGAGTTTATTAAGGAGTATTGACTCATACGATCACAAGGTGAAGTCCCCCAATAGGCCATCTCCAAGCTGAGGAGCAAGGAAGCCAGTCTGAGTCCCAAAACCTCAAAAGTAGGGAAGCTGACAGTGCAGCCTTTGTTTGGTCTTTGGCCAAGGCCCAAGAGCCCCTGGGCAAACCACTGGGGTAAGTCCAAGAGTCCAAGAGCTGAAGAACTTGGAGTCTGATGTTCGAGGGCAGGAAGCATTCAGCACAGGAGAAAGATGAACGCCAGAAGACTCAGCAAGTCTGCTCTTTACAACTTCTTCTGCCTGTTTTATTCTAGCCATGCTAGCAGCTGATTAGATTGTGCGCACCCAGGTTGAGGGTGGGTCTGCCTCTCCCAGTCCACTGACTCAAATGTTAATCTCCTTTGACAACACCCTCACAGATACACCCAGAAACAATACTTTACATCCTTCAGTCCAATCAAGTTAACACTCAGTGTTAATCATCAAAGGTGAATATGATTTATTGTCCATTTCTCCTTGTGAGAAAGGTCCATGAAAGCTGAAATCCTCATCTGTTTTGTTCACAGAATGGAACTGAAAGAATGGCACACACACAAAAAAGGTGTTCAATAAATATTTATCAAATGAATGAAAATTCGCTGTACCCCAAGCTCCTGTAACACTGCCTGGCATATAATAGTGGCTCAATAAATATTTGCTGAATCTAGGACTCTGGCAGTAGGGAATTTGCTTTCCCATGGAAGCACCTGGGTTAAGAAACGTTTTCTCCAGTGTCCAAACACTTGGCCCTTCTATGTCTTTCACTCATTTTCCTATGTCTCTAGTTAATGGCACATAGTAACTAAACATTTAATAAGTTAATTAAACAATTAATAAGTTACTGAGTTGATTTTACTCAGTGACTCAGTGCTGCATGAATAATGACTGACACCTCATGTCTGAAATGCTTTTCTGACTATCTATCCTCCAATATCAAAAGTAACCTATTCCATTTACATTTTAATTTAACAAACATTTCTCTCCTGAATACCTACCCTATTTTAGTCACTATGCTAGATATTGAGTGGGATAATCAATGACAATAATACAACATGTTTATTGAGAATTTACTTAGTGTCAGGTACCATGCTAAGCACTGAACATGTATGATCCCATTTACCCTTCATAATAACCACGTAAGACAGGAATTACTGTTATGCCCATTTTACAGACAGAAACTTAAGCCTTGAGAGGTAACTTGTCCGAAGTCAGGTAGTAAGCTGGGACAGGAAACAGGCTAAGCCTGGATGCTTATCCAGACAACCTTAACCCAACACTCACACTTTTAAGCCCCAAAACAACTTAACAATGAAGAACAATCAAAATCTTTTTCTCAAGGAAAAGTGGGCATATTTGGAGAGAAAACCATTTTCAAAAATTTTGAGTCATTCATCTTTTGGTTTCCATGCCCTGCATAGAATACTGCACAGATTGAGTAATGAATACATTTTTGCTAAAAGAATAAATAATATTAAGCAATAAAAGGAGGTAAAACTACAAGAGGTAAATATCAGCTCTGACTGGAGGAAGCTGGGAATAATCCAGGACAACGGAAGCAGAACCTGAAAGAATATATGAGATTCTAAAAGATCAAGAGGAGGGTCATTCTTAGTACAGAATGCATTAGCTATCTATTGCTGCATAACAAATTAGACCTGAAAGAATACATGGGATGCTAAGAGATCAAAAGAAGAATTATTCTTAGTAGAGCATGTATTAGCTATCTATTACTGCATAACAAACTACTTAAAAAGCCAGTAGATTAAAACAAAAATAAACATTGATTATTCTTACAGTTTCTGTGGGTCTGAAATTCCAGAGCATGCTTGCTGGGCAATTTTATCTTGCAATTTCTCATGGAGTTTCAGTTAAGATATTGGCTGGGGCTGTAGTCATTTGAAGGCTTGACTGGCAAGAAAATTTTCATTCAAGGTGATTCATTTACACGGCTGGAAAGTTGTGGCTGGTTGGTGGTGGAGGCCTCAGTTCCTCCTCACAGGGGCCTCTTCATAGGCTGTGTGAGTGTCTTCATAGCATGGAAATGGGCTTTCCCTAACATAAGCAATCAAAAGAAGAGAAAGAGCCAACAGAAGCTACCTTCTTAATGATCTAGCCTCGGAAGTCATATGACATCTTTTCTGCCACATCCTATTTGTTAGAGGCAAGTCATGAAGTCTGACTCACATTCAAGGGAGGGAAATCAGGCTCCATTTTTAAAAGAGAGGAGTGTCAAGAATTTTTAGACATATCTTAAAACCACCATGGAGGCAGGTCCTGAAAAAGCACAGAGCGTGTTCTGAAATGACAAATTATCCAGTGTTCCAGTTAATGGACTTTTATAAACTGGTGACCTCTCCCATTTTCACTATTTTCATATCACCCCATCAATGTCTTATACTTCGATCATTTGATGTTGGTCATTGTACAGAACAAATCTTTCAACATTTCTTCCCCAGTTCATCCATTTGTTCACTTTATTTAAATCTAGTTTTATTCTGTGTGGTTAGCACTAGAAATACAAAAATAAAAGACATGGCTCTTGTTTCAAGGAGTTTTATAGTCCATTTGATAAATCACATATGTAGTATATATAATAACCACATACTGGCCAGGCCTGGTGGCTCACGCCTGTAATCCCAGCACTTTGGGAGGCCGGCGTGGGCAGATCACGGGGTCAGGAGTTCAAGACTAGCCTGGTCAACACAGTGAAACCCTGTCTCTACTAAAAATACAAAAATACAAAAAAAAAAAAAAAAATTAGCCAGGATGGTGGCGGGCACCTGTAGTCCCAGCTACTTGGGAGGCTGAGGCAGAATCGCTTGAACCTGGGAGGCGGAGGTTGTAGTAAGCGGAGATCATGCCACCACACTCTAGCCTGGGCGACAGAGACTCCATCTCAAAAAATAAAATAAAGTAACCATATATTATATTCCAAAAACCATTATAGAAGTATATACAAAGTGCCATGGTAGTATGTAGGAGATTAATTTCCTTCATGGAAGGGACCATGTTTTTCCTCCTAAGGAGTTTAAACCTCATTTTTCATTCAATAAAGTTTTTTTGGTTTTGGTGTGTTTTTTTTGCTTTGTTTTGGGGTTTTTTGTTTGTTTGTTTGTTTTTTGAGACAGGTTCTCAGTTTGTCATTCAGGCTGGACTGTAGTGGCATGATCTCAGCTCACTGCAGCCTTGACTTTCCAGGCTCAAGCCATCCTCCCACTTCAGCCTCCCGCCACTTCATCCTCCCACTTCAGCACATGCCACCACACTTGGCTAATATCTGTATTTTTTTTGTAGAGTCGATGTTTCACCATGTTGTCCAGGCTGTACTCAAATTCCTGAGCTTAAGCAATCTACCTGCCTTACCCTACCAAAGTGATGGTATTACAGACATGAGCCATCATGCCCGGCCTCAATACAGTTTTTAACCAGGTGTGTGCCAAGATTTTAGAAAGACATCTATACTTTAGAAAGACAATTTTGATGGCAGTAGAGAGGATGGAATTGGTAGAAGGTATGTGGGCAATGGCATGTTGAATGAAGAGGACAAAATACACATGAGAGACATTTATTGGGTAGAATCTATAGGACCTGGTGATTAATTGCATGGGCAGAAAAGAATTATTATTATTCAACTTCTGGATTTCTGGAAGGTATATGACGGCATCATTAACCAAGGTAGGAAATATAGGAAGAGGATCCAGGTGTTTTGTGGAGAAGATAATAAAATAAATTCAGTTTTAAATGTATTGAGTTTGAATTGCCTTTGGTTACATAGTCGAAGGATGTGTCACCTAGATGATTGGAAATATGTAACTGAAGTTCCAAGAGAGAAATCTCAGCTGGAAATACATATTTTGGAAACACTGGTGTTCACGTGCTAAACTCATGGTATTGAAGGCAATCACCTAAAGAGCTTGGAAAGTAGAAAAGTCAGCCAAGAGCCAGGTGTGGTGGCTCATGCCTGTAATCCCAGCAATTTGGGAGGCTGAGTTGGGTGGATCACCTGACGTAAGGAGTTCAAGACCAGCCTGGCCTATATGGTGAAACCCCACCTCTACTAAAAATACAAAAAATTAGCCAGGCATGGTGGTGGGCAACTGTAATCCCAGCTACTCAGGAAGCTGATGCAGGAGAATCACTTGAACCTGGGAGGCAGAGGTTGCAGTGAGCCAACGTCGCACCATTGCACTCCAGCTTGAGCAACAAGAGCAAGAATCCGTCTCAAAAAAAAAAAAAAAAAAAAAAGAAAAAAGAAGAAGAGAAGAGAAGAGGCAGCCAAGAATAGAATCTTGGGGAATACCAACACGTTAATGGTGGTAAAGAAAGAGGAGGCAAGAAAAACAGTGAAAAGGTGAAGCCAAAAGAGGAAGAAGACATTTAAGAGATTTCAGGGTCATAGAAGGAGATTTTCTAGGAGACAGAATCATCGTAGACAAAAAAGAAATGCAGATATCAAATGACAGACAGAATAAAAATCAAACCTCACATTTGTCAATTAGGAGACTATTCATTGCCTAAGCAGCTCCAGTGAGGTGATACAGGATGGAATCCTGCTGTAGTACATTGAGGGATAAAAGAGAGATGAGGGAATGAATACCAAAAGGGCGAACTAGATGCACCGAAAGGTTGAAAGCAAAGAGCAGTGAAGAAATTGTTATTTTTATAAGGGTGGAAGTGAAGCAGGATCAATATCATTCCATTCTAATCAGGTTGTGCTTTCTGGATTTTATTCTCAGTCTAATCTGAAAAGAGGATTTTTCATTCTCCCTTTGGTTTTTGCAGCTGCTTCCACTGGAGCATGTCAGAAAAGAGGAAGCCACTTTAAAGGGCCAAGGAGAAGACCTAAAACAAACACAGCTTGTCAGCTGCAGCAACCCAAGAGAATCTGGAGTTACCACCTCACTTATTACATTCAATGGACCAAATCCCCCCTCAATTCTCAAAGGGGTAGCTGGTCAAACATTTATAACATTTTTCAAGGTAAGTGAAAGTCAACTAATTATTAATGAAGGCAACCAAAAAAGAGAGAAGTATATGTTTTTTATTTATAGAAACCTTCCCTTTATGACACAGTATGAATCTATGAACATAAAAATCTTAGATTCAGTATTCTCATAATTTATCAAGATATGTCTAAGAATCAGGATCTAAACATAAATTTCCACATTGGCAGGCCAAATGACAAAACTTCAGGTTCCAAAAGGCAGAGGAGTGCCATTGAATAGCTTTGTAATTAGCTCTCTGGTGGGTAGACCTGGGCATCATAGAAGAGCTTCACCAATCAATCTCAAGTATCAAAAAGAACATAGAAACAGAAGCAAAACACCAAAGAATATAACAAACACTCAATGTAAAGAGGTCTTACCAAGAGTTACTCTTGTTTTTTCACTCTTTGGTGAAAATATAAAAGATGCATAGAAAAATACGAAAAAAGACAGGGATGGTATCCCTAATTCCAGTGCCCTAGCATAGTAATTATTATATTTGAGTGCTTCCCTTTAATAACAATAGAAACAACAGCAATTGATTACATTCCTTTATTTCAAAAACATTTGCCATGCATTTATCTTGTGCCAGAGTCTGTTTTAGAGGCTAGGAAACCCAACAAACCCTTTCTTGGCCTTGGGCACCTCACATTCTAAATGGAAAGCAGACACTACACTGAACAACTAAATACATAATTATTTGACTACTTCTGGAACTGATGGCATGAAAAAGCAGCATAGGGTATTAAGAAAGCACACAATAGGATCTTGATTGCCTGTTAAAGCCTTGCTCCCCAAAATGTCCCCAAGTCCTTTATCTTTATAAGGACCTCTTTTCTTTACCACCTGAATAAAACAATCCAAGCTTCTTTCTTCATGTGACTGCAAATTCTCTGCATGAACTGAGAAGTTCTGAGGCAGGTGCTGACAAGTCATGGTTGTCTTCTGTCAGCCCAAGTTTTACCTAAATTACCTTGGGCCTCCTCTCATGCAGCTTCAGCTGTCTCTGATTTCTCCATCATCATAAGTGGAACCCTTTATTCTCCAAGGCAGCCTTTACACAAGGTTAACTCTTAGTTAGCCACTAACACAGCTATATTAGTCAGGGTTCCCTACAGGGACAGAACTAATAGGATAGATAGATATATAAAGGGGAGTTTATTAAGTATTACCTCACACAATCACAAGGTCCCACAATAGGTCATCTGCAAGCTGAGGAGTAAGGAGAGCCAGTCTGAGTCCCAAAACTGGAGAACTTGGAGTCTGATGTTTGCAGGCAGGAAGCATCCAGCACAGGAGAAAGATGTAGGCTGGAAGTCTAGGCCAGTCTAGTCTTTTCATGTTTTTCGGCCTGCTTTATATTCTGGCCATGCTGGTAGCTGATTAGCTGGTGCCCACCCAGATTAAGGATGGGTCTGCCTTTTCCAGCCCACTGACTCAAATGTTAATCTCCTTTGGCAACACCCTCACAGACACACCCAGGATCAATACTTTGAATTCTTCAATCCAATCAAATTGACACTCAGTATTAATGCTCTACTAATGTTTTGAGATAGGCAAAGGGAGAAAAGGAGAAGGAGGAATAGCAGAATAAGTTTAAAACAGGAAACATTGGCTATCACACATCCTTTCATCAGCCACCCACACACATGCCTTGTCTGAGGTATTCTCCTACTGGGGTCCTCCTCTCTCACTAGACTCTTACCTCCTGTCGTCTTCCCAGGTCCTGCATTTACTCAGAACCAGGTCCTTCCTTCCGTTTCCTCTCCTCTTCCCAATGTCAAGGCTCCTTACAAACTACTGATCAGGGATGCACTATGAAGATACCAAAACAGGTTATACAGCAGAACAATGTCTCTATCATTCACACTGTGATGCAGAAAAGTTTAGTTTCCTTAAACTACACTTCCTTATCACATCACCGCACATTGTCTTGACTTTCATAGCAGAAGTTTCATTAATATGGCTTCTAAACAAAAGATTGAGTTTGTTCTTGAGAATAATTCCTCAGCACCCTTCAAATGCAGAAGTTGCTCCAATCATTTTAGGGTTGTTTTAATAGCAGTTCTTCCTTTCAGCTACAAAAATGTATCAGTGGGTAAAAATAAGCTCTTTATAAGCTGGGTAGTAGTATGGTCAGGTTACAAATTTAAAAGTTATTCTAATCTAAACTCTAGGCAAAGATTAAGACATAAAAATTCCCAACCCAGAGTCACATGTTGTTGTGAAAAAAGAAAAATGAAAGCACTCTAAATAGCCAACAATATAAAAATGATTAAATACATTGTGGTAATATTATTAGATGGAATATTACATAGCCATTAAAATTATGTTCATTTGGACTTTTGATGATAAAGAAAATGCATTTGATATAAGGCTAAGTCAAACAAAGCATGATTCTGAATTTAATATATGGAAATCTCAAATATTCAAAATGTAGTTGGCTCTAGGTCCTGAAAAAACTGAGAAGTAACTAGTGCAACTGGCTCTTTCCCAGCTCCCAAGATCAACCCCAGAGAAACTATTAAATAAGAGAGGAACTAATAAATAAGAAAGGAAATCAAGCCTCTGAGGCACTGCCTAAATACTGTCAGAACCCTGTGGGGAGCCTGGAAAATGAAGTAATCTTGGGAAGGAGAAGGCTGGAGGATGATGCCATGTTTGGCTAGATAGCCCAGGTATGGCAGAGAGTAAGATAGAAGACAGCTTTTACATTCTGCTCCAGCCTTTCCTCAGAATTGTCTTGACAGAATCATGGCTGCCCTGAGAGATAAAAATCACAGTGTCTGTAGGACTATATCAGGGGAGCCCCAAAGCCCTGCTGGGATAAAGAACCAAGGAAACAAGGTAGAGATGGATCATCAGCCTTCCCTGCCCCAACCCAAAGATTGGTAGATTAAATCTAACGCAATAGCTTTCAAAATGTTTGATCATTATCAACAGTAAGGAATATGTTTATTCCTGGTACACACCTTTTTTGTTGTGTATATACAGAGCTGAAACAAAAGTTTCACTAAACAATAATTACATTAATGAATTGTGATGTACTCTGATATTTCATTCTATTCAATTCTACTTCATTTTTTAAAATAGTGGCTATACTCCCATTAAGTATGCAGCTTGAAAACCACTGATCTAATGAGATTTTCCTCTTCCCAGTGCTATTTCTACCAAATATAGTTTAAGGGAAAATCCCTGACCATAAATGTTGCTTGATAGAGTGGTGACAAAAAGGACATAAACAGTTTACTTCTCTTCCTCCCTGTAGTCACCAGGAGAAACACAGCATATGGCTTCAGTATTGGCCTTCTCCTTCATATACATTAGTATATGAGGAGTTGATATTCCTAGGAAAACATGAACTCATAAGCCAAAACTAGTAGAAATTTGAAGTGGACAATATTTTTTAAAAAACATTAACAAGCAGCACTATATGCCAATTATTATATAATTATTATATAATTATGTATATGCACATAAACATTTTAAATTAAGCATAATATTCTCAAAAAGAAATGAGAATCATAAATATAATCAAAGGAAGTATTGACCACAAAAAGTATAACAGTCAAAGAACGTAAATAGATGGAATAAATTGTATAGTGGATATTGCTGATCAATAAGTTAATGAAATGTAAGATATGATTGAGAAAACCAGAAGGCAGACAAAAAAGGCAATGACATAGAAAATCTAAGCAACATGGATATGAGAACTAGAAACACTAACATCCATATACTAGAAGCTCCAGAAAAAAATTGGAAAAAAAATAAGGCAAGAAATATGAGGAGAAATAAAGAACATAAAATCTTCCCAAGTTAAAAAGAAAAAAGAGATGACATGTTTAACTTAAGGCTTCAAAGTGCCAAACAGGATACAGAAAAACACACACTGATACATATTAAAATAAATTTTAGATAATCGAAGACAAGAGAAAATTTGATAGATTAACATATTTTTTTTTAAGATTTCAAAAAGGAGCTACAGATTGCCAACAAAAGAAAAAGAATCTTCATGAAATATTTGCCCGCGCTTATTCACAATAGCAAAGACATGGAATCAACCCAAATGCCCATCAGTAATAGGCTGGATAAAGAAAATGTGGTACATATACACTACAGGATACTATGCAGCCATAAAAAAGAATGAGATCATGTCCTTTGCAGGGACATGGATGGAGCTGGAAGCCATTATCGTCAGCAAACCAACACAGGAAGAGAAAACCAAAAATATCATGTTATCACTTATAAGTAGACGCTGAACAATGAGAACACATGGACACAGGGAGGGGAACAACACCCACTGGGGCCTGTCGAAGAAGCAGGGAGAGGGAGAGCATCAGGATAAATAGCTAATGTATGTGGGGCCTAACACCTAAGTGATGGGTTGATAGGTGCAGCAAACCACCATGGCACAGGTTTACCTGTCTACCAAACCTACATGTCCTGCACTTGTATCCCAGAACTTAAAATTAAATTCAAAAAAATAAAAATAAAATGAAATCAAAAAAAAAGAAAAAAGAAAAAGAATCATAGTGATATCACAATTCTCAAGGGCAAACACTGGATGCAAGAACACAATGATTCATTGCTTTCACATCAAAAAAAACTAACCAGTTTTGTACTCCGAAGTATCATCTAAAGGCAAAGACCACAACAGTTGGCTTCATGAATATATGAACCTAACAGCATAGTCTCAAACTATATAATGCAGCAACTGATAGAACTAGAGAAGGAAGTAGATAAATAGACAAATGTGGTGGAAGATTTGGGAGATTTTAAATACCTTCTCCTCAAAAAGTAGTCAGATATACAGAAGATATAAATAACATAATTTAAAAGCTTATATTTTTAGATATAGAGAGATCTTTTCACACTATAAAGAACACACTTTCATTTCAAGCACATATACAACATTTACATAGATGTGCCATGTAGTAGGCTACCAAAAAAAAATTCAATAAATTCCAAATAATTAGTATCATACAGACCACAAGGCAATAAAATTTTAAATTAACAACAAAGGTATAATATACAGAATTCCATGTCACCCCAGTCACCTCTGCCTCTAACGCTTTCAGAATCCACAGACTACAGAGGAAAAGGATTTTCAAAAATTGAGAAAAGAAACAGCAGAATTCCTATCAGGGAATTCACCTGCTCCCTTCTTGAGTTACCACTGCAGCTTGTCTCACGGTAAGGGTACATGTTTATCTGTTTTCTGACTGCACGTAGGTGCTTTTGTTCAGAGAATGTCTATCATAACTCAGACTATTTCTTTTTGAGCTACATGCACTTGCCTTCTCTGACCTCACCTACTACATGGCAGGCTCTTTGTCCCTCTGCTCTGTTTTTTGTTGTAGCCTGCATCTGGAAGTTTCACTATTCCAACATGTCTACCCATTGCTCATCATGTGCCTGCTTTCCAGATGCACCCATGAAGCCTGGCATGTGAAGAGGACTTGGCTCAAGGTACTATCTGGGAGTCTGCAGGGTTGTAACCAATTAATACTCTGTCAAGGACCTAAAACCTATAGCTATATATAGGCTAATCGTACAATTTATCAGCCAAACCAAGACACTTCCAGATGAGAAGCTGGAATTGGAGAAAAAATCCAGGA